>NC_000023.11:73977693-74280723 GCF_000001405.40 Homo sapiens
ACCTTTTCACTCTTCTCTAGAGAAGGCCTGTGGTTTTCAGCTTTCCCCTGTGCATTACTTTAATTTTATTTGATGTTTAGTCTGTGGTTGGGGCGAAAAAGAGGCATGTTCTCTAATGTTCTAATTTAAACTCAGTCTTAAGTAGGCACTGTGAATCTGGGTCTTGTGGGTGTGGCTGTCATAAGTCTTTCTTTTCCAGTCAATGCCTAGTATTTATTCCCATTCCTCCCCTATGGCTAAAGCTTTATGTGTTCCTTACCTCCTTACCCAGCCCCTGTTGCTTCCACTCCAGGGTGTCCCTGCAAATTGCTCTAAGGTTTTTGCTTCTTAGGCGAGATAGGAGACGGGCCTCTGGGGAATTTTGGTCTGCTTTATATTCCCTTCCACTGCTTCATGATCTTTTCTGTAAATGAAGAACTTTTTTTGGTGGGGCGTGGTGGTTCACGCCTGTAATCCCATCACTTTGGGAGGCCGAGGCGGGCGGATCACCTGAGGTCAGGAGTTTGAGACCAGCCTGACCAACATGGAGAAACCCTGTCTCTACTTAAAATACAAAATTAGCTGGGTGTGGTGGTGCATGCCTGTAATCCCAGCTACTCAGAAGGCTGAGGCAGGAGAGTCACTTGAACCCGGGAGGTGGAGGTTGCGGTGAGCCGAGATCGCGCCATTGCACTCCAGCCTGGGCAACAAGAGCGAAACTTTTTTTTTTTTTAAGAAAGGTAGATTGGGGCAGATTTTCAGCCATAGCTGCTACTCCTTTCCCCCAGATAGTACCAAAGGGGTCTTTCTCTGTGATCTCTGATCTTTCCTGTGGCTTCCTATTGATAACAGCTGCAGGTGGCTGCAACCCCACCCCCATATTTGAAACCTGAGGGGATTCCTATTCTCAGGCCAGCCCACACTTGGCCTTTAGCAATTTATTGTAATTTCTAGTTAAATCTTTCTACCTGCTTTTATATTGATTTTCATGGCATTTGTCCCAGTAATCAAATGCTCAGATTCTGTTTTCCCCTGCAGGCACCTACCATTTTTTTAGATTTCTGTATTTTTTTTTTTCCTGTAACTTCAGTTCTCTGATAGGGTCAAGAAAATCATAACTTTGCTTTTGTCAAGCCTTTTCTAAGTGAGGTAGTGATGTTGTTTCTAGTGCCCTATATATTTGAGATTTGTTGTCTTTGTTATTTTTGTTTATTTCTGTTTCTTATTTTTTCTTCTGTATCATTTGAACATTTTTTAGTATTTTATTTTATTTATTTATTTTTTTTTGAGATGGAGTTTCGCTCTTGTCGCCCAGGCTGGAATGCAGTGGTGTGATCCCAGCTCACTGCAACCTCCGCCTCCCGGGTTCAAGCGATTCTCCTGCCTCAGACTCCCAAGTAGCTGGGGTTACAGGTGCCCGCCACTATGCCTGGCTCATTATTTTTATGTTCAGTAGAGACGGGGTTTCACCATGTTGGTCAGGCTTGTTTTGAACTCCTGACCTCAGGTGATCCACCTGCCTTGGCCTCCCAAAGTGCTGGGATTACAGGCGTGAGCCACCGCGCCCAGGCTTTAATATTCCATTTTAATTATCTTTATTTATTTATTTATTTTGAGACAGAGTCTCGCTCTGTTGCTCAGGCTGGAGTGCAAATGGCACAATCTCAGCTCACTGCAACCCCCGCCTCCTGGGTTCAAGCACTTCTTCTGCCTCAGGCTCATGAGTAGCTGAGACTAACTACAGGTGCATGCCATCACGCCCAGCTAATTTTTGTATTTTCAGTAGAGGCAGGGTTTTGCTATGTTGGCCAGGGTAGTCTCGAACTCCTGACCTCAGGTAATCTGCCTGCCTCGGCCTCCCAAAGTGCTGGGATTATAGGCATGAGCCACCGTGCCCGGTCTTAATTATCTTTTATACATTCGAATTGTCTCATAAATACATATCTAACAGTTTATGTAGATTCAGTGTTTTACCACTTCAGGTAAAACATAGAAGCCTTACATCCATATAAAGCTCTTTATACTCCCTCACTGATTCTTTAAGTAGTTGCCATGTGTTTTACATTTGCATTGTGTTTCTGCTTTCAGGAGTCATACATATTTTAAAGAACTTAAGAGGAGAAAAATAGTCTTTTATATTTACTCAGTAATTTACCACTTCTTTTTTTTTTTTTTAAACCAGTTCTTTGTTCTCTCATTTTTAAAGATCTAAGCTTTCCCTGGGTATCATTTCCCTTCAGACTAAAGAACTCCCTTTATCATTTAATCAGCACTCTGCTTGAGGTGAATTGTCTTAATTTCCCTTCATCTAGGAATGTGTTCATTTCACCTTCATTCCTGAAAGACATTTTCAATCACTGGATATAGAATTGTTAATTGATGGGATTTTTTTCTTGTTGCTCTTTAAAGTTATTTTTCTACTACTGTCCTTCATCGTTTCTGATAAAAAATTTGCCGTCGTTTGAATCATTGCTTCCTCAGATGTAATGTGCTGTTTTTTTAATAGCTGCTTTCAAATTTTTTCCTTTGTCTTTGATTTTCAACAGTTTATAGTATTTCTGGGTGTGTCTTTTCAGTTTATATTGTTTGGTTTTGCTGAAGTTGTTTAATATGTAGATTTATCTTTTATCAGATTGGGAAGTTTTTGGCTGTTATTTCTACAAACTTTTTTTCTGCATGATTTTTTTTTCTCATTCTGAGACTATGATGACATGTATATTAGATATTGTGATATTGTTCCATAGGTCCTGAGGTGCTGTTTGTTCTGTTTCAATCTATTTTTTATTTATTTATTTATTTTATTATTTTTTTTGAGACGGAGTCTTGCTCTGTCGCCCAGGCTGGAGTGCAGTGGCATGATCTCAGCTTACTGCAAGCTCCGCCTCTCGGGTTCACGCCATTCTCCTGCCTCAGCCTCCCAAGTAGCTGGGAGTACAGGCACCTGCCACCATGCCCAGCTAATTTTTTTGTATTTTTAGTAGAGACGGGGTTTCACCATGTTAGCCAGGATGGTCTTGATCTCCTGACCTCGTGATCCGCCCGCCTCAGCCTCCCAAAGTGCTGGGATTACAGGCTTGAGCCACCGCGCCTGGCTCAATCTATTTTTTAATTCTATTTTTCAGATTGGGTAATTTCTGTTGATCTGTCTTCAAATTCTGTTTCATGTTCCTGGCTGCATTCTGTTATTGAGATCTTCAGTGGATATTTTTTATTGTGAATGTTGTATGTTTTCATTAAAAAAACTCAATTTGGTTCTTTAAGTGTTATTAAGGTATAATATCATACCATAAAATTATCTATTGTAAGTATACAATTCACCTAGTTTTAGTAAACTTATGGCTTGAAGTTGTCATCATAATCCAGTTTAGAACATTTCATTATTTCCAAAAGTTTCCTCAAGTCACTTCTGCTCCCATCCCAGGCTACCGTGATATCCTCTGTCTGTAAGTTTACCCTTTCTAGACATTTCATGTAAATGAAATCGTACGATATTTATTCCGTTGAATCTGACCTCCTTCATTTATTAAAATGTTTCTGAGATTTAGTCATGTGGTAGCATTAATAAGTATTTCATTCCTTTTTAGAGCTGAATGTTGTTCAGTTTTACTAATGTCACATTTTGTTTCTCCATGCAGCACTTGACTGAAAGTTGGATTGTTTCCTTTTTTTGGTGGTGGGGGGGGGCTATTATGATGAATAAACATTGCTGTGAACATTAATGTAAATGTCCTAGTATATTTTCTTTTCTATTCTGTAGATTCTTTGGAATAGAATAGCTGGGTTGTACAGCAAATATTTATTCAGCTTTTAAAGAAACTACCAAACTGATTTCCAATGTGGATATACTATTTTACATTTTCACCAGCAATGTATGAGTTAACATTTCTCCACATCATCACTTGTTATTACCTGATTATAGCCATTCTAATTGGTGTGAAGTAGTATCTCATTATGATTTTGTTTTGCATTTTCTTAAACTGTATGAGATTGAGCATCTTTTCATTTGCTTATTGGTCATTTGTATGTCTTTGATGAAATATCTATTTAAATCTTTTCTCCATTTAAAGTTATTTTCTTATTGCATTGTAAGAGTTCTTTATATGTATTTTGTACTCAAGTGTTTTATCAGAAATATGATTTACATATTTTTTCTCAGTCTGTAGCTTGTCTTTTTATTTTCTTAATGGTGTCATTTGAAGTGCTAAAATTTTTAATTTTCGTGAAGTCCATTACATCAGTTATTTTCTGTGTCTCATTTTTCATAAGTTTTATACTCTGTTGATTAGTTTTAAAGTAAGTTTTAAAGTTGGGTAGTGACAGATCTCCTACTTTGTTGTTTTTCAAAATTATTTCAGGTGATCCACATTCTTTGCATTTAAAATGAGCTTGCAATTTTCTACAAAAAAAGCCTTCTGGGATTTTGATAGGGATTGTATTGAATTTATAGATCAACATGATGAGACGTGCCTTCATAATTATATATTGCATTGTCAAATCCATGAACAAGGATTTTCATATATTTTCATCCATTTATATATCTACTTCAATTTCTCCATGCAATATTTTGCAGTTTTTAATGTATAAATCTTTCTCTTCTTTTGTTAAATTTATTCTTAAGTATTTTACTCTTTTTGATGCTATTCAGAATAGAGTTCTCTTAATTTCAGTTTATTGCTAGTATATAGATATATAGTTGATTTTAATCTTGTATCCGATTACTTCCTTAAACTTTGTTATAGTAGTTTTACTGTGAAATTCTTAGGTTAAGAATAAGGATTTCATAATAGAACTACAAATAGGATCATTTCATATGCAAATAAGGACAATTTTATTTCTTCTCCAATCTCATTGTCTTTAATTTTTTTTCCTTATTTACTGCCTAGAACTCCTAGTACAGCGTTGACTAGAAGTGGTGAGAAAGCTGGCACAGTGGCTCATGCAAGTAATCCCAGCGCTTTGGGAGGCCAGGGCGGGTGGATCGCTTGAGTCCAGGAGTTCAAGACTACCCTGGGCAACATGGCGAAACCCTGTCTCTACAAAAAAAAAATATATAGTAGCCAGGCATGGTGGCATGCGCCTGTAGTCCCAGCTGCCAGGGAGGCTGAGGTGGGAGGATTACTTGAGTCTGGGAAGTCAAGGCTGCAGTGAGCCATGATTGTGCCACTGCACTCCAGCCTGGGCAACAGAGACCCCGTCTCAAAGAAAAACAAACAACTCCCCCCCCACCACACACAAAAGGAGTGGTGAGAATGGGAATCTATGTCTTATTCCCATCTTCTGGAGAAAGTAAAGCATTAAGTCTTTCTCCATTAAGAATGACGTTAGTTATAGGTTTTTGTTATTGTTGTCTTATAGGTTTCTTTTGTTAGATTAAGTAAGTTCTTTTTCATTCTCACTTTTAGGAGAGTTTTAAAGCCTTGAATGGGTTTTCAGTTTAGTCAAATGCTATTTTTATGTCCATCGAGGTGATAATATATATATTTTAAATGTAATATATTGAACTGCATTGATTGAATTTTGAGTTATGAAACAGGCCTACATTTTATGATAAACCCTACTTTCTCATGATATAATTTATCCAATTTGCATATTGTTGGATTAGATTTCCTAATATTTTGTTAAGAATTGTTGCATTTGAGTCAACTTAGGTACCCAAATGGTTGGCTAGATAAAATGTGGTATATTTATATCATGTAATACTATACAGCCATAAAAAATGAAACCATGTCCTTTGCAGCAACATGGATATAGCTGGAGACCTTTATCCTAAGCATATTAATGCAGGAACGGAAAAGCAAATACCCCATGTTCTCCCTTATTCATGAGAACTAAACATGAGTACACATGTTCACATAAATGTCTAATGTGAACAATAGACACCAGGGCCTACTCAAGAGAGGGTGGTGGAAGGAGGGTGAAGATCAAAAAACTACCTATTGGGTACTATGCTCACTACCTGGGTGATTAAATAATTTGTACACCAAACCCCAGTGACACAGAATTTACCCATGTAACAAAACTGCACATGTATACCTTGAAACCAAAATAAAAGTTGAAAAAAAAAAAAAAACCACCCATGGATTGTTGCATTTATCTTCATGAGGAAGATTGGAATGTGATTTCCTTTTCTTATAATGTCTTTATGAGGTTTTAGTATCACGGTGTTTATGGCCACATTAAAATGAGTAGGACAGTAAGTAATACCTCTTCAGTTTTCTGTAATGATTTTTTTAGAATCCATATTTTATTTTATTTTATTTTTTTGAGACGGAGTCTTGCTTTGTTGCCCAAGCTGGAGTGCAGTGGCGTGATCTCGGCTCACTGCAACCTCTGCCGCCTCGTTTCAAGCGATTCTCCCTGCCTCAGTCTCCCAAGTAGCTGGGATTGCTGGTGTGCGCCACCACATCCAGCTAATTTTTTTTGTATGTTTAGTAGAGATGGGGTTTCACCATGTTGGCCAGGCTGGTCTGGAACTCCTGACCTCAGATCATCCGCCCACCTCGACCTCCCAAAGTGCTGGGATTACAGGTGTGAGCCACTGCATCCGGCCTAGAATCCATATTTTTTAATCCTTGAATGTTTTGGTAGAATTCACTTGTGAATTTATCAGTGAAACAGCTTGGTCTGTTGTTTTCCTTATGGAAGTTTTAAAATTACTAATTCTATGTCATTAATGGATATATGAATATTCAGGTTATATGTAGATATATTTGTTGTTGTTGTGTTGTTTTGTTTTGTTTTTTGAGATGAAGTCTCGTTCTTGTCCCCCAGGCTGGAGTGCAATGGCGCCATCTCGTCTCACTGCAACTTCCGCCTCCCGGGTTCAAGCGATTCTCCTGCCTCAGCCTCCCAAGTAGCTGGGATTACAGGTGCCTGCCACCACGCCCGATTTTTTTTTTTTTTTCTTTTGAGACATTCTCACTCTGTTGCCCAGGCTGGAGTGCACTGTGCAATGGTGTGATCGCGGCTCACTGCAACCTCCACCTCCGGGGTTCAAGTGATTCTTGAGTCTCAGCCTCCCAAAGTACCTGGGACTATAGGTGCGCACCACCACACCCGGCTAATTTTTGTATTTTTAGTAGCCACAGTGTTTCACCATGTTGGCCAGGCTGGTCTCAAACTCCTAACTTCAGGTGATCAGCCCGCCTCAGCTTCCCAAAGTGTTGGGATTATAGGTCTGAGCCACTGTGCCCAGCCAGGTTATATATTTTTTGAACGAGCTTTGGTAGTTTGTATCTTTTTTTTTTTTTTTTTTTTTGGAGACAGGGTCTCACTCTCTTGCTCAGACTGGAGTGCAGTGGCACGATCTCGGCTCACCAGCACCCTCCACCTGGAGCGATCTTGGCTTACTGGCACCCTCCACCTCCCAGGCTCAAATGATTCTCCTACCTCAGCCTCCCGAGTACCTGGGATTACAAGTGCACACCATTACCACCCAGCTAATTTTTGTATTTTTAGTAGAGACAGAGTTTTGCTATGTTGACCAGGCTGGTCTTGAACTCCTGACCTCAAATGATCTACCTGCCTCGGCCTCCCAAAGTGCTGGGATTACAGGTGTGAGCCACCGCACCCGGCCTCTATATTCTTTGGTAGTTTGTATCTTAAGGAATTAAAAGATAAAAGGTGGATAAGAAAAGATTACTAAGGAAGTTATTTCATCGATTTTTGGTTTGGTGTTTATTATTTTCTTATTTTCTGCTTGCTTTTTGTTTAATTTGTTCTTTTTCTAGTTTCTTAACTCCAAGTCACTGAATTGAGGTTTTTCTTTTTCAAATTGGCATTTTGTGCTGTTTTTTTCTACATACGTTTTTTGGTGTCACCCCACATATTCTGACATTTTCATTTTGATTCTGTTCAATATACTTTCTGATTTCCCTCTTGATTTCTTTTTGGTCCTGGAATGTGCTATTTAGTTTATGTATATTTAGGGATATTTCAGAGATGTTTCTGTGACTGTTACCTATTTTAATTCTCATATGGTCAAAGAATATACTTTGTATGAATTACATTTTTTAAAAATTGGTTCAAGATTGTTTTATGACCCAGAATGTGGTATGTCTTGGTAAATGTTCAGTGTCTTCTTTAAAAAATGTGTGTTCTGCCATTGTTGACTGAAGAGTTATAAAATATCAGCTAGGTCAAGTAAGTCATTTGAGTTTTCAAGTCTTTTATATCCTTAGTGATTTTTCTATCCACTTCTGTCATTTATGGAGAAAGATATATTGAAGTCTTTCAATCTAATTGTGAATTAGTCTGTTTTTCCTTGAAATTCTAGTAATTCTTGCTTAATTTATTTTGAAGCTCTGCATAGACTTTTAACACTGTTAAGTCTATCTTAACTTCTTTGTCATTATGAAATGGTCTTCATCCATGGTAGTATTCTTTGTTCAGAAATCTGCTTTGTCTGCCCAAGGGGTCTTTGGTCTGTAGGAAATTAACCCATGAAGGAAAGAAAACTTGGAAAAATAATTTAAAAAATGATTGTTTTTTAAACATAAATCATTTTTAAATTATTGATTCCAAGGGATTGCTGATAATAAATTTGTTCAGGCTGTGTTAAGACTTGCATCTTTTTTTTTTTTTTTTTTTTTTGAGACAGAGTTTCGCTCTTACTACCCAGGCTGGAGTGCAATGGCGCATCTCGGCTCACTGCAACCTCCGCCTCCTGGGCTCAAGTGATTCTCCTGCCTCAGCCTCCTGAGTAGCAGGGATTACAGGCATGTGCCACCACACCTGGCTAATTTTGTATTTTTAGTAGAGACGAGGTTTCTCCATGTTGGTCAGGCTGGTCTCAAACTTCCGACCTCAGGTGATCCACCCACCTCGGCCTCCCAAAGTGCTGGGATTACAGGTGGGAGCCACCGTGCCCGGCCATTGCATCAATTTTTTAGTAATAGATGATGAAGGCGAGTGCTAAAACTGTGAAGACTTAGAACATTTTAATATTTCTGAAAATTAACTTTTTTCAGTTTTGAAAATTACAGCTTCTAAATAAAATACTGAATTTTTAAAAACAAAATTAGATTTAAATATATAATGTTTAAAGATAAAAAGTTTTATGATAAAATATGCCACAAACAATTCGAAAGATACCTAACTTGCTTTGTGTATAAAAGGTAAATAAAGGCTTGGCTGGGCATGGTGGCTCACAGGAGGCTGAGACAACAATCACTTGAGCTTAGGAGTTTGAGACTAGCCTGGTGGGTAACATGGCGAAACCCAATCTCGACCAAAAATACAAAAATTAGCTGGGCATGGTAGTGTGCGTCTGTAGTCCCAGCTACTCAGGAGGCTGAGGCAGGAGGATCCCTTGAGCCCAGGAGGTGGAGGTTGCTGTGAGCTGAGATCACGCCATTTCCAGCCTGGGTGACAGAGTAAAACCCTGTTCCAAAAAAAGATAAAGGCTTGCTATTTATGCCATTTCAAGGAATTAGTAAGAAAAATCGTAGATTAATGGGTAAAATAAATGAATAGTTAATTCAATGGCAGTGCTTATCCAATCAATAAAAGACATAAAAATGATACTGAAGTAAATGCAAATTTGTAGTGTTAGTACAAGATCCTTTCTCATCTACTTTATTGGGATAAAATTAACTGGATACAACTACTGTTGGCAGTGATGGGGAAAGGTTACTTTTATATATTGCTTGTGGGAACTGTGAATTTTCACTTTCTTTTTTGGATAGGTAGTGCTTTGGCCTCATCAGGGAGCTCCTGCTTTAAGCACCTCTTCATGCTTTGAGGCCACATTTGTTACTCAGACTTTACAACAGTGGCTTTGAGTTCTGCCCTGTTTCTGGTACCTGAGGAATTTCTTCTCATCCTTTTGGTATTTCTTATGTATTTTTATTGTTTTGTTTTGTTTTATTCAGCATTTCTACTTTCTGTTGCTTTGGGTGAGGTTTTCTATAGCACTTAAGTTCACCATGACGACTGGAGCACATCACAATTTTTTTTATAACCAGACAAGTTGTCCTGCAAATATTAAGGAGACTGGCAGATGTTATCAAATATAAAATAACTATTGGGATTAACATCTATAAACCCTTCTTGATCAAGGTATTTAACAGTCAATTATAGTTAACCAAGAAGTAAACAAAAATAACACTGGAATAGAAGAAATGTGACAGTGGGCTGGTGCTATTCATTGAATCCATGTAAGTATTGAACTAGAAGAGCAACTGAGGGAATTAAGATTGCATAATAAAATGTTTTTCTGAAAGGTGTAGGAATAATTATTGAGTGCTAATCTTATCATGGTATGGTGCCAATACTTACTCTAAAGTTACTATGTGGTAAAACATTTTATATATATATTATATGTGTATAATATATATAATTTATGCATATAAATATATTTTATTCAATTATTTTTATTTTATTAATTTTATTTTATATGTAAATATATATTCATTTATATACATAAATAAATACAAAATGTTTTACCCTATTTTTTATTAAAAAGTTTTTTCAGTGGTCCTTTTTTAGGTAGTTATATTTCTTGTGAAATAACATTTATCTGAACATTAGTAACTCCTTCACTGTCATTTTGCTCTCATTTTCCTGTCTTTATAGCAAGTAAAATTAAATGGAGTAATTTGAAATAAATTATATAATAAATGGCATTAAAATAACCCCATTTTAAAATATTGAGGTATAATTTACATACATTAAAATGCATCATAGGTGTTCCATTTGACAAAATAGATCACATTTTCTTTACTCCTGAAAATTTCCTTGTGCTCCTTTCCAGTCAGTTCTCCTCTTCCCAGTAGCCACTTTGTGGTATAATCCCAGGTTCCCAGGTTAATGAAATTATTTCTAACTGTGTTTTTAATACATTCACATTTTTCTTGCTAAATTATATGCCAAAAAATGTCCAATAAATGTTAAGCTTTTTAGGATGATGGCAGTTTGGGTAATTCATTGCTTTCTTATTTATACTTTTCTGTATTGTGTTTTGTTTTTTTTTTTTTTGAGACAAGGTCTTGCTCTGTCACGCAGGTTGGAGTGCAGTGGCATAATCATAGCTCACTGCAGCCTCGACCTCCCAGGCTCAAGAAATCTTACCACCTCAGCCTCCCAAGTAGCTGAGATTACCGGCACTTGCTACCACATCTGGCTAATTTTGTGTTTTTTTTTGTAGAGACAGGGTTTTGCCATGTTTCCCAGGCTGGTCTCAGGGACTCCTGGGCTGAAGCAATCTGCCAGCTTTAGCCTGCCAAAGTGCTGGGATTACAGGTGTGAGCCATCATGCCTGGCCTTTTTTGTATTATTTGATTTTTTATTTTAGGTAGTAAGTCTTAGGTTAAAAAAATCAAAACCTGATTATTAATTAAATAAGAAAAGAATATTTTTTAAAAAGGCAAATGCTTCAAAGCAAAACTGTCTTCCATCCTAGGAAAGGTATGAACCAGAAAAGAGCAGGTTCAAAGAGAAAAAGGGTATGAAGTGTTTCTTAGATTAGTGTTTGTCATAATTTTGAGAGCTGATGATACTAATCCCTGAAATAGAGTAAGGAAAATTGAAAAAAATAAAAGAAAAAAAGAGCTTTGTAGTTATATGGAGTTGGTACCTTTCTGTTTGTTATTATATATGAAATATTGTAAATTTCTGGCACCACCAATCATAACATTTAAGTGTATTCCAGAGCTGAATATAAATTATTCTATTTTTCAAGTTAATATATAGTGTTGTCAGTATATGTTGAATGAAATTGCCCCTTAAGTTTTCATTTACATCTTATATTTATCTGGTTTTACTAATTAATTTATTCTGCATTTTTACTGAGTGTAGCCTCAGTAAAAACCCTAATGTGGGTAGGCACTGAAATTGTTATTTGAATAACACATCCCTGTTTGCAGTGTGATATGAAGAAGGGGAACAGAGGTTCAAAAAAACAGAGAAAGCAAATAGAAAATAAGTAAATGGGAGTCTTAAGCAACTATATTGTTAATGGGCTAAACACTTCAATTAAAAGTCAGAGATTATCAGAATGGATTAAAAAGCAAGACCCATTTATATGCTATCAACATGAAATTTACTTAAAATATAAAAGTACAGGCTGGGCACGGTAGCTCACGCCTGAAATCCTAGCACTTTGGGAGGCTGAGGTGGGTGGATCACCTGAGGTCAGGAGTTAGAGACCAGCCTGGCCAACATGGCAAAACCCCATCTCTACTAAAAATACAAAAAATCGCCAGGCATGGTGGCGGGTGCCTGTAATCCTAGCTACTTGGGAGGCTGAAGCAGGAGAATTGCTTGAACCCGAGGGGCAGAGGCTGCAGTGAGCCAAGATTGCGATTGCGCCACTTTACTCCAGCCTTGGCAAAAGAGTGAAAATCCGTCTCAAAAAAAAAAAAAAAAAAAAAAAAGAAACCCTTGAAGGTACAGATAAGCTGGGGGTGGGGTAGTGCTATTAATACATACAAAATAGACCATAAGACAGAGTATTATCAGAAATAAAGAGGGATTTTTCATAATGTTAAAAGTATCAATTCATCAGAAAGCGGTAGCAATCATAAATTTATATATGATTATAAACATATTTTTATTAAAAATATATAAAGTGGCTGGGCGCGGTGTCTCACGCCTGAAATCCCAGCACTTTGGGAGGCTGAGGCGGGGGTGGATCACCTGAGGTCAGGAGTTCAAGACCAGCCTGGCCAACATGGCGAAACCCGGTCTCTACTAAAAATACAAAAGTTAGCTGAGTGTGGTGGTGGGCGCCTATAATCCTAGCTACTTGGGAGGCCAAGGCAGGAGAATTGCCTGAACCTGGGGGACGGAGGTTGCAGTGAGCTGAGATTGCCCCACTTCACTTCAGCCTGGGCAAAATGGTGAAACTCTATCTCAAAAAAAAAAAAAAAAGTATATATAGCAAAAATCGACAAAATTAAGAGGTAAAAGATACTTTTACAATTAGTGCTGAAGATTTTTACCACCCTACTCTGACCAATTGATAGAATTTCTAGCAAAAAAACAAAATTAGTAAAGACATAGATGATCTGAGGAATACTACAAACCACCTCAATATAATTGATAAGTATTGAACACTACTTCCCCGAATTGTGAAGAAGATATTCTTATCAATTGTACATCATATATTCAACATAGACCAAATGGTGGACCATGAAATATGCCTTGATAAATTTTTTGTGTGTGTCTTGATAAATTTATTTATTTCTTGAGACAGTCTCACTTGCTCTGTCACCCAGGCTGGAGTGCAATGGCGCGATCTTGGCTTACTGCAACCTCCGCTTCCTGGGTTCAAGCTATTCTGCATGCCTCAGCCTCCCGAGTAGCTGGTATTACAGGTGCATGCTACCACGCCTGGCTAATTTTTGTATTTTTAGTAGAGACAGGGTTTCACCATGTTGGCCAGGCTGGTCTCAAACTCCAGACCTCAGGTGATCCTCCCACTTCAGCCTCCCAAAGTGCTGGGATTACAGATGTGAGCCACCATGCCCAGCTGGTAAATTTAAAATGATTGAAATTTATATATGTTCTGTCACCACAATGGAAGTAAAATTAAAATAGAAATTATTAAAATATCTAGGAATGATCCAAATATTTGGAAATTAGACAACACAAGTTTAAATGATCATGAGTCAAAGGGAAATCACAATTAGAAGACATTTTTAATCGAATGGTAATGATAATATAATGTCAAAATTCATGGAATGTAGCTAAAGCAGTGCTTGGAGGGCAAATTATAGTTTAAATGCTTTTATTATAAAGGAAGAAAAGTCTAAATGTCAGTAACCAAAGTTTCTACCTTAGGAAGCTAGAACAAGAACAGCAAAGTAAACCTGGAGTAAGTACAAGTAAGGAAACAATAGAGTAGGAATCAATGATGTGGAAAACAGATAATAGAGAAACTTTAAAAAGCCAAAATCTGGTTCTTTGGTAAGATCAACAACAGTAATAAACCCTTATCTTCAGTGAACAAGAAATTGACAATGCGACATGTTGTAATAGTAAAGGAATAAAGTACATAGTGTGGAACACAGAGGCTGATCTGAATTTGGTTTTCAAAGGTGGTTTCAGAGAGGTGGTAAAATTTGTGTTTGGCTTTCAAGAATTAGTGTAAGTTTTTCCTGATACAGATTGGGAAAAAGAATATTCTGAGAGGAAATAAGAGCAAAATAATTTTATTTTTCAGGCTTTTGGCATATTTAGAACCGTATTTTTATTTTTTTGAGACAGAGTCTTGCTGGAGTCCATCGGTGCAATCTCGGCTCACTGTAACCTCTGCCTACTGGTTCAAGCAGTTCTGGTGCCTGAGCCTCCCAAGTAGCTGGGATTACAGGCATGTGCCACCACTAGCCCCAGCTAATTTTTAAATTTTTAGTAGAGATGGATTTCTTCATGTTGGCCAGGCTGGTCTCGAACTCCAAGTCTCAAGTGATCCACACGCCTTGGCCCCCCAAAGTGCTAGGATTACTGGCGCGACCCCACAGCACCTGGCCTAGAATGGTATATTGACTTTATCTGTGGCATATGGGTTATGTTAGGTGGAGAGCAGTAGGTGATGCAATAGGAAAAGCAGTTTGAGTCTAGAGTGTACAGAACCTAGAGTACCTTCCTTGATAACTTGGACTTTATTCTGTGTAAAATAGCAAGCTTAGCGTCTAAAGTTTTTAAAGGAGTTTTTTAAATGAAATATTTCAAACAGAAAATACATAGAATGACATACTGAACACTTATTACCGCTACCCTGCTTTAACAAATCTTATACCTTACTATATTTGTTTCAGATTTTAAGAAATTAATACATCATAGATACAATTGAAGCTTTGTACCTTTCCATCTCATACCACCATGAAGTTCTATTCTGAAGTCATATATCCTTACCATGCATTTTTAAAATACTTTTACTGTATAGCTATATACTAATAAAAAGGTGGCATTCTCCATGTTATTAAAGTTTCTTAAAAATGCTATCTATATTTTACTTATTCTGCAACTTGTTTTTCTCACTTATTATTATTTTTGACTTATGGGATATTCCGGAAGTTTGGACTGGTGTAACCACAGTAGTTATTTACGGCCAGTGTCCTTTCTTCTTTCTTTTTTGAGTTAACCAGGATACATTTATTAAATATATCCAGGATAAATATTCCCAAAAACAAATATTTGGTAAATATGGCAAACTTATTCTTTGGCAAATTAGCTTTTAGCATGTTGGACTGCTTTCCATCCCTATTAGGAGTATTATAAGGATTAAATGAAGTATTACCAACAAAAAGGTACTTAGCAAAATTCTCAGTAAACATTGGTTATAATCCCTCCAACATTCAGACTTAAGTTCTGCCTATTCTCTTTCCTCAGTATTCTTTATTCCTGTCCATATAACCATTGTCCTTTTGTAGGCCTTCACTACCTTAATGTGGACTATAGCAATAGTCACTTGATTGGTCTCTTGGCTTGTTCCCCTCCAATCTTGTTCTCTACACTACTGCAAGGGTGATCTGTCTACCACATAGATTTTGAATTATCATCTACAGTAGTAAAACAGTTTTCATGGCATACAAGCTTCAATAATTTAGTCTAGATATTCCGCTTGATCTCTTTTCACCTCTTTTCCATTTATCTTCTAGCACCACTGCAGTGCTTGTAGTTCCTTAAATATGCTATTCTTTTTGAAAAAGCAGCAAATCTCTGTGCAGTTGCCTTTCTAACTGGAATATCTTCCCCCTTCTTGTGTTCTCACAAAATTCTTATTCATCTTTCAAGTTCTAGCTCAAATGCCACTTCCTTGTAAAGGTTTTCCTGATTTCCTTAAGCAGATTTGGGTTACGTTTCTAGGGTTCTGCTGCTCTTTGTACATGCTTCTATTATAATGCTTATATATATTATTGTAGTTGTTTTTTAATTTTGTCTGTCATTCTAATAGACTGTAATCTCCTTGCAGGAGGAGATCTGTCTTTTCATCATTTATATAATAATGACTATTGTACCTAGAATATAAGTCATTGACATTTGTTGAATTAAAAAAATTCAGAAATCTATTTACAGCCCTCTCTACTGCCTTCCCATGACACCTCCATTTTACAGATCATTAAGCTGAAGCCCAATGAAATGAAGCTATTTAGTGAGAACTCATGCCTCCTAACTCCAGATCTATTACTTTTATTCTTATATTGTAGAGAATATTCTGTTTAGCATGTATATACTAGTTATTTATATTATAAGAAACAGTCTTGTCAGTATTCTTCCTTTCATCTCTAGGGAATAGGTAGAAGGGTATAGTGATTTTATGAGATTTGTGTTTTTTTTTCCTGTTTCAATCATTCAGATGCTTTTGTTTTCTAGCAAATTCAGCAAAATTCAAGGTTTTCTTCATGTCATTCCTTTTCTTTACCCTCACAGAACTCAGGTAGGATTGAATGTCTGATGCATTTAGTCCAGTTGTCCTCAACCAGGGGTGGTTTTGGCCCCCTAGAGGGCTTTTGGCAAGATGTTTAGAGGCAGTTTTTTAAATTGATACATAATATTTACCCATATTTATGGGGCACATGTGATATTTTGATACATACATACCATGTGTAATTGGTTTATCTGTCACCTCAAACATTTATCATTTCTTTGTATTGGTAACATTCTACATCTTTTAGCTATTTTGAAATATACTTTCTGTGGGTGCTTCCTAAGCACCCTTACTTATAACCTTATAACCACAGTACATTTGTCAACCTCATAAATTTACACTGATATCATACTTTTGTCTAAACTACCTTCCATGTTTTATAAAAATGTTTTCTTAATAGCATTTTTAACCTCTTCAATACTGGATCCAGTCTAGAAGCAGGTATTACATTTGGTTGTCATGTATTTTTAGCCTTCTGTCATCTATGGTGTTTCCACAGCCTTGTAAAACTGTAGTACACTATCCCAACCAGACTATTCACACTGTTACAGTCTAGATACAGAATGGTTTCATGATAAGGTAGTGAGACATTTTAAGATATATTCCCTGTGGATTTGGCATTCATTGATTACCCTTTTCCTTGCTCATTCTTTACCTTGGTTACTTTGCAACTGTAGTACTCCTGCTAGATTTACTAGTCAGGCCTTAGCAAAATACTGTAAGCACAAGACCTCCCTTCTCCCTTATTTGTTTAGTACCATGAGGGACTCATATTCCTACCCTTTTTTTTTTGAGATGGAGTTCGCTCTTGTTGCCCAGGCTGGAATGCAATGGCATGACCTTGGCTCACTGCAACCTCTGCCTCCCCAGTTCAAGTGGTTCTCCTGCCTCAGCCTCCCGAGTAGCTGAGATTACAGGTATGCGCTACCACGCCCGGCTAATTTTGTATTTTTAGTAGAGACGGGGTTTCTCCATGTTGGTCAGACTGGTCTTGTAGGAGAAATAGACTTCACTAAAATATTACAGCCAATTAGTAAAAATAAGACAGTAAATAGTAACACCTTGTCCTGGAGTGATAGTAGCCAGTATTGCTACCATATATTACTGACAATGTTTAATTTTCAACAACAAAAATAATTGAGAGATAAAGAGAAGTAAGAAAACGTGACCTTATGGGGAAGAAGACTGGCAAAACATCTCAACTTTGAAGGCATAAGATGTGTTACTAAGCAGACAAATATTTCAAATTGGCCATTATAAATATCTTAAAAGAACTAGAGGACACCATACCTCAGGAGGCAATGATATAATTACAATAATTTTGCAACTAGAGAATATAAATAAATAGGTAAGAATTATAGAAAAGAACCATATGGAAATCTGGAGTTGTAAAGTATAATAACAGAAATTACAATTCATTAGAGAGGTTTAATACTAGATTTTAACTGGTAGAATAAACAATCATTGAATTTGAAGATAGATTGATAGAAATCACCCAGTTTAAAAAATACAGAATAAAGAAGTAAGTAAAATGCAGTTTCAGAGAAATGGCAGAAGCCATTGAGAATACCAACATATGTGCAGTGGTAGTGCCAGAACATAAGGACAACGAGCTGAGAGAAAAAATATTTAAAGAAATAATACCTGAAAATTTTCTATATTATGAAAAAAAAATCCAAGAAGTGTAAAGAATTTGAAGTATAATAATTGCAAATATATTCCCCCTTAGACACATCAAAGTAAAATTATGAAAGTAAAAAAACATCTTGGAAGCATGAAGAGAATAATGGCTGATATACAAGGAAACTCTAATAATACAGTAATAATTAAGGCCACAGTGGAGGTGTATGACATATTAATAGTGTAGAAGAAGTAAATTCAAAATTTTACCTGAAGCACGACTGACATTCTTAAATCAAAGTAAAGACATTGCTAGATAAACAAAAACTGGGAATGTGTTCTTAGCAGACCCACCTTGTAAGAAAAGCTAGTTTTTGAGAATGAAGAATACTGACCCCAAACTGTAATTGAAATTCCTATGAAAAATCAGAGTACCAGTCATAATTATGTAATAATTATAGAGGCTAGTATAAATGCATATTTTTTATGTATTAGCTGGCATATATGCCTATACACTGTATACTTATAAATATTCATATATGTGTATTGTGTGCAGTATTTCCATATTTGTATTTGTGAGCTTACAACATATAGAAATGAGATCTATTTAATAATATCACAAAGTATGTGGTTGAGAACAAAACTGTTGTAATAAGGAAATGAATCTTTTTTTTTTGGAGACAGAGTTTCGCTCTTATTGCCCAGGCTGGAGTGCAATGGCACGATCTTGGCTCACCACAACCTCCACCTCTCAGGTTCAAGCGATTCTCCTGCCTCAGCCTCCCAAGTAGCTGGGATTACAGGCATGAGCCACCACACCCGGCTAATTTTTTGTATTTTTAGTAGAGACAGGTTTTCTCCATGTTGGTCAGGCTGGTCTCAAACTCCCAACCTCAGGTGATCTGCCTGCCTGGGCCTCCCAAAGTGCTGGGATTACAGGCGTGAGCCACCACACCTGGCCAGGAAATAATTCTTGATGGTAACTCAGATCCACAGGGGTAATATAAAAGAACCAGAAATAATAAGAAGGATAATAAAATGCTAAAAAAAAATTTTCTTACCATTCTTCTCTGACCTGATTATATAAAATTATATAACTAAGTATATAATTTTGAGGATTTTATTGTATTATAATAATGGCTGAAAAGGGAGAAGTTATAGAGATATATAGAGGTATAATGATTTTTCCTTTCTTTTTTTTTTTTTTTTTTTGAGAGGGAGTCTTGCTCTGTTGCCCAGGCTGGGGTGCAGTGGTGTGATCTCAGCTCACTGCAATCTCCACCTCCTGGGTTCAAGCGATTCTCCTGTCTCAGCCTCCTGAGTAGCTGAAATTACAGGCACGCACCACCAGGCCCAGCTAATTTTTGTATTTTTAGTAGAAAAGGGGTTTCACCTTTTGGCCAGGCTGATCTCGAACTTCTGACCTCAAGCAATCCACCCGCCTTGGCCTCCCAAAGTGCTGGGATTACAGGCGTGAGCCACTGCGCCCAGCCCATATAGAGGTAATATTTCTATATTATACTCATGTTAGTGTAAATATGAAGTCGAGTCCTTTAGGATGTGTAAGAAAAGTCCTAGAGAGATGTCAGTGACATAATAGAATTGGAGCTGCCTCATATACACTATGGAATACTGTGCAGCCATAAAAAAGGGTGAGTTCATGTCCTTTGTAGGGACATGGATGAAGCTGGAAACCATCATTCTCAGCAAACTATCGCAAGGACAAAAAATCAAACACCGCATGTTCTCACTCATAGGTGGGAATTGAACAATGAGAACACTTGGACACAGGGTGGGGAACATCACACACAGGTCTGTCGTGGGGTGGGGGGCTAGGCGAGGGATAGCATTAGGAGATATACCTAATGTAAATGACGAGTTAGTGGGTGCAGCACACCAACATGGCACATGTATACATATGTAACAAACCTGCACATTGTGCACATGTATCCTAGAACTTAAAGTATAATTTAAAAAAAAAAAGAATTGGAGGTACCTGTTTTGTCCCTCCTTTCATGGATACACCAAGTAAGTACATGCATGTGGATCAATTCTATCCAAGAGAAAGCCAAAATGTAGTTGAAGGATGCTCACACACTGGATGACTGAGAAAATATCTACAACAAAATGGGAAGGATAAACTGAGGTATACTGATGGTTAAACCTCACCTTGAGCACAGGCTGGTATAATTTGGAAAGAATCCTTAACTCCCACCCTCTTCCTGAGGGGTGACGGGTTGATAGCACACATATAGTGTCCCAGTTCTTACATTCTCTACCAGAAGGCTTGGCCCTTAAATCCCATTATATGAGGAGCACAAGGACTTGGCACTAGAGTATTTCCTTGAAGAACAGTAGAATGGGTGGGGGGTTGAACTGCAGGAGCACTTCCAACAGCTGTATCTCCTGGGATCAGTATACCCTCTAGCTTCTCACTGGAAACAGTTTGGCTGCACATTTCTAGCAGCTTCTTGTGTTTGTGTCTTCTATCATGCCTGCACCTAGGAGCCCGTGTAGCAAATGAAGCATAAACCTCCTCAAGTGTTAATGGGAGGGATGGCACTCCCTACATCTTCCCTGGATTGCTCTAGTGATTAATCCAGGTCTATAGTTTCCCTTGAAAGAGATTTGAGGCCTCAGTGAGCAAAAATGGAAGGGTCAAAACCCACCATGCCTTTTCCCAGCTTTCTCCAGATATGTATAACCTTGTAATCTCTCCCTGGAAGGAGACTGGGAGACAGACCTCTCTTATGCTATATGTGAGGAACTGTACTTCACCTGCCTTCCTATGTACCAGTCTTGTTCCAACAACATATTGGCCTGGAGATTCTGTGTGAAGTGAGTTTGTGAGACTTCAGGAAGCCTTAAAGGGAGATGAATGTTCTTCGCAATTTCTTCTTCAGATTGCTCCAGCAATAAGTCCAGGCTTCCAAATCCTTACTGGCAGGAGGTTGTGTGACTTACTGTGCCTTATTGTGAGATTGGGTACTTCCCATGCTTTCCTACTTGGCCTGCTCTGGTGATGAATTCGTTTCTGCAGACTTTCCCTGGGAGTAATTTGTACACATACTGACTGCCCCATATTTTACATCCCTCATTCAAGGTACTGGCTCCTGTATCACCCAGCTCTGGAGTTGAAAGAGCTCTTCATTCCTGAGTCTCCTGTACCACTGAGAATAGGTAGTTTTCTCTCCTCTCCTCTCCTCTCCCCTCCCCTCCCCTCCCCTCCCCCCCTTTTCTTTTCTTTTTTCTTTTCTTTTTTTGATGGAGTTTCACTACTGTTGCCCAGGCTGGAGTGCAGTGGCGCAATCTCGGCTCTCTGCAACCTTCACCTCCCGTGTTCAAGTGATTCTCCTGCCTCAGCCTCCTGAATACCTGAGATTACAAGCATGCACCACCACGCCCGTCTAATTTTGTATTTTCACTAGAGACGGGGTTTCTCCATGTTGGTCAGGCTGGTCTCGAACTCCCGACCTCAGGTGATCCGCCCGCCTCAGCCTCCCAAAGTGCTGGGATTACAGGCATGAGCCACCGCGTCCAGCAAGAATAGGTGATTTTCAAACTTGGAAACATTCAGAAGTTATCGCCTCAGTTTCAGATTGAGTAGTCTCAAAGAGATTACAGACATCTACCACAAATTCTCTACTTGGTGTGGTGCAAAATCAGTATGATGTAAACTTTGTCTCTCAGTTTCTTCAAAGGAAAGAAGCAACTGGAACACACATATAACACTAACCCTTCCAGCTGCATTATGAGGGACCAGTACCTGTCTCAAGGCAAAATTATGACTTAGTTCATCCTCACCTCTGGAGGCCAGTAAAAGTGGGTTATAGAAGAACAAAGAGGCATCTAGATCTTTCACTGGGTTATTTGGAGAGAAACATCTCCTACCGAAGGCCAGTTTAACAAGACTGGTAGAGGAGGTTATCTTATCTAATTCACAGAAATCAACACATTGAGTCAAGAAAAATGAAACACAGAAACACTCTAAATAAAAGAAGATAAGTCTTCAGAAACCAACCCTAATGAAATGAAGATATGTGATTAACCTGACAGGAAATTAAAAAGAGCAACCATAAAGAGTCTCATGGGAGCAATGCATGAACAAACTGAGAATTTTCATAAAGAAATAAAAGATAACAAAAAGTATAAAGTTGAAGAATACAATAACTGGACTCAAAAATTTAATGTGTCCAACAGAAGAATCGATGAAGCAGAAGAAAGGGCTATCAAACTTGTAGATAGGCCATTGGAAATCATGTAATGTGAGGAGAAAAAAGAAAAAAGATTGAAGATAGTTTAAGAGACTTTTGAGACATCCTCAAAGGGGAATAATTTATACATTACCAGATGGAGAAGATAGAGGGAAAAGGACAGAAAACATATTTGAAGAAATAATGTCAGAAAACCTCATAATTCTGGCAAGGAAATAGAAATTTAGATCTAAGAATCTCGAACATCAGGTATGATGAATCCAAGGAGACTCACACCAAACCATATTGTAATTAAATAAAGGTTAAAGACAATCTTCAGAGCAGCAAGGGAATAGTCTCTTCTTACATACAAAATGATCCACGGAAGACTGTCAGCAGACTTCACCAGAAAACTTTCACGCCAGAAGGCAGTCGTGATATATACAAAAAGCTGAAAGGAAAACACTGCCATCCAGGAATACTATCTCCAACTATCCTGTGTTTCAAAAATTAAGGAGAAATATAAAGTTCTCAAACAAAAGATGTGGGAGTTTACCACCACTAGACCTGCACGGGAAGAATTGCTAAAGGGAGTCCTTCAAGCTGTAGTAAAAGAGTGCTAATTAGAAACATGAAAACGTGAGTATAAAACTCGCTGATAAAAGTAAGTACATAGTTGGCTGGGTGCGGTGGCTCACGCCTGTAATCCTAGCAGTTTGGGAGGCCGAGGCAGGCACATCACCTGAGGTCAGGAGTTCGAGACCAGCCTGGCCAACATGGCACAACATCGTCTTTACTAAAAATACAAAAATTAGCCAGGCGTGGTGGTATGTGCCTGTAATGCCAGCTACTCTGGAGGCTGAGGCAGGAGAATCGCTTGAACCTGGGAGGTGGAGGTTGCACTGAGCCGAGATGGCACCACTGCACTCCAGCCTGGGTGACAGAGCAAGACTCCATCTCAAAACAGAAAAAGTACACAGTCAAACTGAGAATATGCTAATACTGTAACGGTGGTGTGAAAACAAATTATGTATTTATCATAAAAGTTAAGACAAAACTTAACTTGTAGCAACAATAATTTAAATTATACAAATTATAAAATGATATAAATTGTGTCATCAGGAACACAATGTGGGGTTGAAAGTAAAAGCATAGCATTTGAGTAATTGATCTAATTTTAGTTGTATTAATTTAAAATAGTCTCATAAGTGTAAGAGACTGTTTAAGGTTCATGGTAACCACAACGTTTGCAAAAAACCCTTAGTAGATATGCAAAATATAAAAAGAAAGTAGATATGCAAAATATAAAAAGGAAAACATTGAATCACATAAAAAAACAGCAAGAAAGGAAGAGAAAAGCAAAGAATTTGTAATCAACCAGAAAACAAATTGCAAAATGACAGCAGAAATTCTTTACCTGTCAATAAGTGCTTTGAATGTAAATAGATTAAATTCTCTAATCAAAGTACATAAAGTGGATGAATGGATTTTGAAAAGTCTCATCTATATGTTGCCTACAAGACAGTTCATTTTTAAGGATACATATAAATTGAAAGTGAAAGGATGGACAGATATGCCATGTAAATGGAAACTAACAGAGAGCAGAGGCAGATCTCTTAATATTTACATCAGATGAAATAGAATTAAAGTAAAAATTTTTAAGCAGAGACAGGGTCATTATATAATGATAAAAAGTGGTCTGTTCATCCATGGGGTATAAAAGTCATAAAGGTATATGCACTCAACATTACAGCACCTAAATATATAAAGCCAATATTAAAAGCTTTGAAGGAAAATATAAAATCTAATACAATAATTGATGGGACTTCAGCACACCTCTTTAAGCAATGGTGAGATCATTCAGACAGAACATCAATGAGACATCAGACTTAAACCACAATTGAAAACCAAAGTTGCCCATATGGACCTAAAAGACATTGATGCAGTCTTCTGTTCAACAGCAGTGGAATACACGTTTTTCAAAAGTGCACACAGAATATTCTCCAGAGTAAATCATACGTTAGGTCACAAAAGAAGTCTTAAGAAATTTTAAAAGATTGAAGTAATATTGAATATCTTTTCTGACCATAATGGTATGAAACTAGAAATCAGTTATAGGAGGAATTTTAGAATATTCACAAGCACATGGAAATTAAATAACATATCAATCAGTGGTTCAAGGAAGAAATTAAAAGTTATTTTCAGAAAAACAAAAATGGAAACACAAAATACCAAAACTTATAATATGCAAGAAAAGCAATTCCTAGAGGGAAATTTTAGCAATAAATGTCTAGAAGTACAAAGAAGAAATAGCTCAAACAATTTAATGTTATACCTAAGAGAACTAAAAGAAGAACGTAACAAAGATTATAGTATAAATGAGACTAGAAAAATAATAGAAAATACCAACAAAACTGAGGGGATATTTTGATAAACTAAAAAAATTAAGCAATGAACAATAAAATAAGTAAAAAGACAGTCCAATAGTGAGTAAGAAGGCTGAATCAATAATTAAAAGTTTCTCATAAAACCAGGAACTTATAGATTCCCTTCTGAATTCTACAGATGTTTAACCCTTTTCCCGTTTGCCCCAAACTCGCTGGTGGCCCTTGTGGCTGTAGCATTTACCCTGAGATAACTTTGCTACAAAATATCTTGCTTTCATTATTTTCGTATTGCTCTAGTATATTGACTTTGGAAGCAAAACACATTTTTCTATTTATAGCATTCTGTCTTTAGTAGTGGTATTTCCATTTACAAAGTATAGTAACTCTCAATCACTGAAAATGTCAAATTCTAGAAAACATAGTATTCCTGTGTATGATGTTAATATTCTTGAACAGTTATTGTCCAAAGATGCATTGATTTTCTTCAGAAATAGACAATTCCGATGATTGTGATGTTCTGTTTAGAAATAACTCCAAGAACAGTTTTTGTATTTTATTTTCACATTGAAAATCAGTCAGATTTGCATCAGCCTCAAAGCGCATGTTTATGTAAAATATTTAAGTCCTGGCAGCGAGCTGCCCTTTTTTTTTCCTAAATGGGAAAAGAGTTAAAGAAAAGCTAATATCAATCCTTTTCATACTCTTTATAAAAGTTGAAGAGGAGGGAATAAGTTCCAATCACACTTTATGAGGCCAACGTTAACCTGATACCAAAGTCAGATGAAGACACTAAAAGAATACAAAATTACAGGCCAATATCCCTGATGAACATAGATGCAGAAACCCCCAACAAAATACCAGCAAACTGAATTCAACAACAAATTTAAAAGATCATTTTCCCATGATCACATGGGGAGATAACCTTTTGCATTTAAGGATGGTTAAACATACATAAATCAATAAATTTGATAGATCACATTAAAGTGAACATCAAAAACTACATGTCTCAATACTTCCAGAAAAAGAATTGACAATATTTAACAACCTTTTTTTTTTTTTTTTTTTTCGGAGACAGAGTCTTGCTCTGTCACCCAGGTTGGAGTGTGGTGGCACTATCTTGGCTCACTGCAACCTCTGCCTCCTGGGTTCTCCTGCCTCAGCCTCCCGAGCAGCTGGGATTACAGGCATCTGCCACCATGCCTAGCTAACTTTTGTATTTTTAGTTGAGACAGGGTTTCACCATGTTGGCTAGGTTGGTCTTGAACCCCTAACCTCAGGTGATCCACCCTCCTTGACCTCCCAAAGTGCTGGGATTACAGGCATGAGCCACAGTCCCCGGCCCAATACTTAACATCTTTGCATGATAAAAACCTGAACAAGTTAGGTATAAAAGGAAGATGTCTCAACACATTAAAGGCCCTATATGACCGGCCCAGAGCTGAAATCTTAACACCGAAGAGTTGAAGGCTTTTTCTCTAAGATCAGGAACAAGACATGGATGCCATTTTTTCTCCTTCTGTTCAGTGTTGTACTGGAAGTCATAGCAAGAGCATTTAGGCAAGAGAAATAAAAGACATCTAAGTAGGAAAAGAAGAAAAAACTTGCCTCTCCTGATTATCTTATCTTATAGCTAGAAAACCTTAAAGACTCCATTAAAAAAAAAAAAACTATAGAACTAATAAAATGAATTCCATAAAAAGTGCTACGTACAAAATTGACAATTAAGTCTGTAGCATTTCTATACACTAACAAACAACAATCTATCCAAAAAAGTAATCAGGAAACTAATCACATTTACACTATTTACTAAGTAAACAAACTTATGAATGAATTTAACCAAGTAGGTTAAAGATCTGTATAGTGAAAACATTGATGAAACGAATTGAAGATTACAAAAATAGAAATTTTTCTTTGTACATGGATTGGGAAATTTATATTGTTATAATTTTCATACTGCCAAAAGAAACATACAGATTCTGTGTAATCAATATTTCAATGTCCTTTTTATTTTTATTTTTTTTACAGAAATACAAAAAAAATTCTAAAACTTGTATGGAACTACAAAAGACATTAAATAATCAAAGTAATCTTGAGCAACAAGGACACAGCTGGAGGCATCACTCTACCTGATTTTGTAATCCATTATCAAAAAACTGTGGTACCAGCATAAAAACAGATTCACTGACCAGTGGAACAGGAAAGCCCAGACATAACTCATACATTTCCATCCAATTGATTTTTGACAAAAGTGGCACACAGAATGGGGAGAGGACAAATAAATAAATAAATTGTTTTGAGATATCTGTATATCTATATGTGAAATTGAACCATTTTCTCATAGCATATAGAAAAATCAACTCAAAATGGATTAAAGCCTGAAATGTTGCCTTTGAAACTGTAAAACTACTAGTAGAAAATATAGGGGAAAAGCTCTATGATGTTGTTCTGGGCAATGATTTCTTGGATACATCCTTAAAAGCATGGGCAGCAAAAACAGCCAGACAACTATCAGGGAACCTGCCCAGATAGTCACATAGGTTCTTTTCTATTTTCCCTAAGCATTGGCCGGGTTGAGAAATAAAGGGACAGAGTACAAAAGAGAGAAATTTTAAAGCTGGGCATCCTGGGGAGACATCACATGTCGGTAGGTTCCGTGATGCCCCCTGAGCCGTAAAACCAGTAAGTTTTTATTAGGGATTTTCAAAGGGGAGGGAGTATACGAATAGGAGGTGGGTCACAGAGATCACGTGCTTCACAAGGTAATAGAATATCACAAGGCAAATGGAGGCAGGGCGAGATCACAGGACCACAGGACTGGGTTGAAATTAAAATTGCTAATGAAGTTTCGGGCACCATCGTCATTGATAACATCTTATCAGGAGACAGGGTTTGAGAGCAACCTGTCTGACCAAAATTTATTAGGTGGGAATTTCCTCGTCCTAATAAGCCTGGGAGCGCTATGGGAGACTGGGGCTTATTTCATCCCTACAGTCTCGACCATAGAAGACAGCTACACCCAAGGGGGCCATTTTAGAGGCCCACCCTCAGGGGCACATTCTCTTTCTCAGGGATGTTCCTTGCTGAGAAAAAGAATTCGGCGATATTTCTCCCATTTGCTTTTGAAAGAAGAGAAATATGGCTCTGTTCCGCCTGGCTCACCGGCGGTCAGAGTTTAAGGTTATCTCTCTTATTCCCTGAACATTGCTGTTATCCTGTTCTTTTTTCAAGGTGCCTAGATTTCATATTGTTTAAACACACATGCTCTACAATTTCTGCACTTAACACAATTATCACAGGGTCCTGAGGCGACATACGTCCTCCTCGGCTTACGAGATGACAGGATTAAGAGATTAAAACAGGCATAGGAAATCACAAGGGTATTGATTGGGGAAGTGATAAGTGTCCATGAAATCTTCACAATTTATGTTTAGAGATTGCAGTAAAGACAGGCATAAGAAATTATAAAAGTATTAATTTGGGGAACTAATAAATGTCCATGAAATCTTCACGATCCACGTTCTTCCGCCATGGCTTCAGCCAGTCCCTCCGTTTGGGGTCCCTGACTTCCCGCAACAGACAACTTGAGTTGCATCAAACTAAAAAGCATCTGCACTGCAAAGGGTACAGTTAACAGAATGAAGACACGGGTTTTGAGAAACCATTTTCAAATCATATATCTGATAAGGGGCTAATATCCAAAATGTATTAAGAAACCCAAGCCCAATAGCAAGAAAACAACTGTCTTTAAAAGGGGGAAAAGGACCTCAACTTAAATTTTTCAGAGGAAGACATGAGTGGCCAATTGATTGATACATGAAAAAAATGCTCAACATCTCTAATCATTAGTGAGTTGCAAATCAAAACTGCAAGATATTACCTTACACCTTTTAGAATGGCTATTATTAAAAGGATGAAAGACAGGTGCTGGCAAGGATGTGGATAAAAGGAAGTCCCAACATTCTGTTAGTGGGAATATAAATTAGTATAGCCAATTTAGGAAACTATATGGTGGTTCCTTAAGAAACTAAAAGTACAATTACTATATGATCTAGCAATCTCTACTTAGGTATATATCCAAAGGAATTGAAGCAGTATGTTGAGATCTTGCACTCCCTTATTTTGAAATTATTTACAAAGCTAATAAATGGAAAAGACTTAAGTTTTCATAACAGATGAATGGACATAGAAGATGTGTTGTATATACATATTGGAATATTTTTTATCCTTGGAAAAGAAGGAAAATTGTCATTTGTGACAACATGGATGAATCTGTAGTATACTATGCTAAGTGTTGTAAGACAGGCACAGAGAGGCAAATACTACATTATATTTGTATGTGGAATCTAAGAAAGGCTAACTCATACAAGTAGAAAGTTGGATGTTATGGTTTCCAGGATGTGGGTGTTGGAGAGATGGGCAAAGGCAAGACGTTGGTCAAAGAGTACCAATTTTCTGTTAGGAGGAATAAGTTTTAGACATATTTCACAGCATGGTGACCATTGTCACTGACTGTATATTTTAAAATTGTTATAAGTAGATATTAAAGTTGTCACAACAAAAGTAGGTGAAGTTATGGATATGTTAATGTGCTTGATTTAGTTATTACACTATGTATACATACAAAAACATCAGATAGTTCCCTGGAATTATATACAATTATTACTTGTCAATTATAAAAAAAAGCCCTACTGCAACCACTAAAAAGGATTTTCATATAATAGAGGGAAAAATCGTTAAAGATAATAATACATTATTTTAGAAAATATTAACTTATAAAAAGTAGTATAGGAGGGATTCTGTAAAAGAAGATAGACATAGAATTTTAAAATGTATAATGGAAAATTTAAATCCAGCTGTACTGATGGATCAAGCAATCCAAACCAGTCTGATTGACCAAGTGGATATTTAAAAAACAATCAAACTATAAGGTGTCTGTTGTAGGCAGTTTATAAAATACAAAAGTGTTGAAAGAAATAGGATGGAAATAGAAATATCCAAGTAGCAACCACAAAAAAACTGGAATGTCTGCACTAACATCATACAAAACAAACCAAATGAAGGTTAAAAATATTGAAATTATACAAAATATGTTCTATGACTAAAATTTAATGAAATTAGAAATAACACAGAGATAGGAACTATACATATTTGTGCAAATTTAAAAAGTTATGCTGAGTGTGGTGGCTCACACCTGTAATCCCAGCACTTTGGGAGGCCGGGGAGGGTGGATCACTTGAAGTCAGGAGTTGGAGACCAGCCTGGCCAACATGGTGAAACCCTGTCTCTACTAAAAATACAGAAAATTAGCCAGATGTGGTGGTGTGCGCCTGTAGTCCCAGCTACTCGGGTGGCTGAGGCACTAGAATCACTTGAGCCTAGGAGGCAGAGGTGGCAGTGAGCCGAGATCACACCACTGCACTGCAGCCTGGGCGACAAAGACTGTCAAAAAAAAAAAAAAAAAAAAAAAGTTACGTAACCAACAAGTCAAAGGAGAATTTATAAGGAAATCAGAAAATACTTTGAGGTGAATGAAAATACAGAAACAACATATCAAATTCTGTGAGATGTGTGAAAGCAACGCTTACAGTGAAATTAATAGCTATGAACATTGTAATGAAATGAGAAGTACTTCAAATTACTAACCTAACTTTCCAACTTTAGAAAATACAGTAAAAAAAGAACAAATTAAAATCAAAGCAGAAAGGATATAAAGTTTAGTGTGGAAATAGAGAATTAAAAATAATTGAGAAACACAGCACTTCGTTGACTTATTCATAAAATAAAGCTTTATTAAAATGAGAAATGTAAAACGTGATGTTCCTAATGACCTTATTCCATACAAGGGATTAGTATTTTGACAAATATCTTTGTGGAAGTAGACAAATTCCTAGAAAGACACTGACTACCACAACTCATTCAAGAACAAAGTGAAGACAATAAATTGGTAATTTAAAAACTCTCACCCCTGCCCCTGACACACATGTAAATTCCCAGTTCAAATGTATTCTTTTGTATATTATACCAAACACATGAAAATTACCAATTCGATAAAAATGTCTTAAAAACTTGGAAGAGCATGTAATATTTTTTACTGGTTCTATGATGCTATTGTTATCTAGATACCAAAGTGAAACATCATACACAGGGAAAACTCTGATAATATCGCTTATGAGTGGATCTGTGAAATTTCCTAGTAAATTTTGGCAAACCAAATACAGTAACATATAAACAGGAATGTACACCAGTACCCAGTACAGTGTATCCCTGGAATGCAACGTTATTTCATCAGCTGGAAATGATTAGTGCAACAGACTGAAGGAAGAAAACAACATGGTCATCTCAATAGATTGTGGACGGCTGGAAGTGGAGGCTCACGCCTGTAATCCTAATACTCCTACCAACAGTGTATAAGCATTCCTTTTTCTCTGTAACTTCACCAGAATCTGTTTTTTTGTTTGTTTGTTTGTTTGTTTTTGACTTTGTAATAGCCATGGGCTGGGCTCAGTGACTCACGCCTGTAATCCTAGCACTGGGGGAGGCTGAGGTGGGCGGATCACTTGAGGTCAGGAGTTCGAGACCAGCCTGGCCAACATGGTGAAACCCCATCTCTACTAAAAATACTAAAATTACCTGTGCATGGTGGCAAGTGCCTGTAATCCCAGCTACTCGGGAGTCTGAGGCAGTAGAATCACTTGAACCCAGGAGGTGGAGGTTGCAGTGAGCGGAGATTGTGCCACTGCACTTGGACCTGGCTGACACAGCAAGACTATGTTTAAAAAAAAAGAGAGAGAAAAAAAAAATAGAAGGTGGAAAAAGTATTTGGTAAACTAAGAAGTAAACCACAACCTAGTAAAGGGCATATTTTAAGAATTCACAACTAGAACCTGGTGCCGTGGCTGTAATCCCAGCACTTGGGGAAGCCAAAGCAGGATTACTTGAGGCCAGAAGTCTGAGATCAGCCTAGGCAATATAAGGATACTCTGTATCTTAAAAAAAAAAAAAAAATCCAGATGTGATGACACATGCCTGTACGCCTAGCTACTTGGGAAGCTGAGGTTCATGTTTACAATGAGCTATGATGATGCCACTGTACTCCTGACTGAACAACAGAGTGAGACCCTGTCTCTAAAAAGCAAAACAAAACAGAAAACCCAAAACCCTCAAAACTAATGTTACACTTAGTATTTAAAGAATGCTTTCTCTGTAAGAAGAGGAGCAAGGACAGGATAAAACATTCTTGCCAGTTCTGTTCAACAGTGTACTGGAAGTATCTGTGACATTAATTGCATTGCATATGGAAGGAAATAAAATTTTTTAAATAGGAAGCAGCAAAACCTTTTGCAGATGACATGGTTTTGTACATACACAACCCCAGTGGATCCAATAAATTTGGATTCCAATAACAAGATCATCTCAGCAAGTTTTTGTGATTTAAGATTACAATCCAAAAATCAGTTGTATTTCTATATATTATTAAAGAAGTCAAAAGTGACATCATTGAAACATTTTTATTTACAATATTATTAAGGCAAAATACTGTGGGATAAAGTGAAATTCAGCATGAACTGTGAATAACACAAAATATTTGTCAGAGGAGTTGAGGAATATCTACATATGTGGAAAGACATCTCATATTTGTGGACTAGAAGATTTAAGCATCGCTAGGTGCGGTGGCTCACGCCTGTAATCCCAGCACTTTGGTAGGCTGAGGTGGGCGGATCACAAGGTCGGGAGTTCGAGACCAGCCTGGCCAATATGGTGAAACCCCGTCTCTACTAAAAATACAAAAAAATTAGGCGGGTGTGGTGGCGCATGCCTGTAATCCCAATCCCTCTAGGCTGAGGCAGGAGAATCTCTTGATCCCGGGAGGCGGAGGTTGCAGTGAGCCAAGATCGGGCCACTGCACTCCAGCCTGGGCAACAGAGCTAGGCTCCCTCTCAAAAAAAAAAAAAAAAAAGCATCAAAAGGATAGTTCATTAATGGAAATAATAAATTGAAAAAGGGAAGGACATCAAAGTTTAATGCTTTTACTTTTTCATAATAACCATAAATAGTATGAAAATACAAACTATATTCATGGAAAATGTTTTGTTTTTATTTTTTTTGAGACAGAATTTTGCTCTTGTTTCCCAGGCTGGAGTGCAATGGCACGATCTCAGCTCACCACAACCTCTGCCTCCCGGGTTCAAGTGATTCTCCTGCCTCAACCTCCCAAATAGATGGGATTACAGGCATGTGCCAGTACGCCCGCCTAATTTTTTTGTTATTTCTAGTAGAGATGAGGTTTCTCCATGTTGGTCAGGCTGGTCTCGAATTCCCGACCTCAGGTAATCTGCTCGCCTCTGCCTCCCAAAGTACTGGGATTATAGGTGTGAGCCACCATGCCCGGCCCTTTGTTTTCAAATCTCATATCCAACATTGGACTTATGGCTAGAATATTTACATAATTCTCAAAAGATAGTATTAAAAATCCAAAGCTTTAAATTAGAAAATGGGCAAAAGTCATGAAAGAACATTCCCCTGAGGATAGGGAAATGTCAATAAGGACATGATGGAAATTAATACTATGATGAGATATTACAGAAGATTTATTTTTCTTTGAGGCGGAGTCTGCCTCTGTCACCGAGGCTGGAGTGCAGTGGCATGATCTCAGCTCACTGCAACCTCCACCTCCCGGGTTCCAGCGATTCTCCTGCCTCAGCCTCCCAAGTAGCTGGGATTACAGGCGCCTGCCACCACGCCCAGCTAATTTTTTTTTTTTTTTTTTTTTTTGTATTTTTAGTAGAGACGGGGTTTCTCCATGTTGGCCAAGCTGGTCTCAAACTCCTGACCTCAGGTGACCCACCTGCCTCAGCCTCCCAAAGTGCTGGAATTAAGAGGTGTGAGCCACCACACCTGGCCTACAGCAGATTTATTTCAGTAGCTGAAATAGTTAAAACATAATGATTCCAAAGGCTGAGAAGCATGCAGAAAAAATTGAATCTTTATTGCTGATGGGAATATAAAACTGTATACCACATTGGAAAATAATTTGGCAATTTCTTTTAAAGCTAAACACACACATACAGTTAGTTAGGCTTAGCAATTGCTGTCATGGCCTATTTCATAGAAATGAAAATTTATGTGTAGACCAAACCTGCACTTGACTGTTCACAGAAATTTTATTTGTAATAGTCAGAACCTGGAAACAACTCACATGTTATTCACCAGGTAAACAGTTAAATAAGTCTGTTATTTCCGTATTGTGTAATACAACTCAAAAATTAAAAGGAATAAACTACTACTATACAAATAAGCCTTAGATGATTCTCAATTCTGAAGGAAAAACCCATTTCAAGTTGTAACATAATGCTTATTTTTATGTATCTTAATGTGATGAAGTTAAATAGTTTAGAGAACATTGTTCGTATTCATCTGTTAGGGATGGTAGAAGTTAGGGTTGTATGTGATTATAAGACTAGTGGAAGGGATACGTTTTTAATGATGGATGAGTTCTGCATTCTGATTCATGCAGTGGTTACAAAAATGTATACATGTGATAAAATGTCATGTAAATGTGCACATTTCACCAATGACAATGTGCTGGTTGTGATATTGTACAATGTTAATGGAAAATATCACCACTGGGGAAAATTGAGTGGTATGTGTAAACGGTACTATATTTGCAGCATTTTGTGAGTCTTTATTTTAACATAATATGTAAATATGTAAAGCAACTAGAAGAATGGTTTTAATACAGGAGAGTAACAGCTTATAAGCAAGAGAAAGAAAAATGATAAATAATGTGAACACTTACCAAAGGAAGGGTGGAACAGAGAAATAAAGGACAGGGAAAATTATCTGGGATGATTCCTAAATTCCAATATTTGGATGGAACTATACAGAATTTTAATATATCTGGAAAATAAACTGAAAATATTAACGGATCCACAGATATTGAAGACTTAACCTTTTTTATCTCATTATTCATTAAAACAAGTGAAATGTTATAGGGAATTCTTCAAATTGAAAGAAGCAGCTCATGCATAACACAAAAACATGAATGTATAAAACTGACTGGTAAAAGGTAAGTAACTCAAATTCACAGTACTGGTATACTGTAATGGTGGTGTACAAATAACGTATATCTTTATTGTTAAGGTTAATACACAAAACTTTTTTAATGAGATGGCTGTTGCTATGTTGCTCAGGCTGGTCTGAAACTTCTGGGCTCAAGCAATTTTCCCCCCTCAGCCTTCTGATTAGACGGTATTATGGGCACCTGCCATGATGTCCATCTACAAAACTATTAATAATTACAACAATTTGTTTAGCCATATGTGATATAAATATATGTAAGGTGTGACATCAAGAACATAATGGGTCACCAAAATCTCAGAGTAAAAACACTCTGGTTTTACTCACCCCCATAGAACCTCAGTAATATATCCAGCACCAATATTATCACAAGTTATATCCCAGAACTGAAATCCGAGGCTGAGACATTTCCTCAGACTACAGAGAAGTGAAAAACTTGGAGCAGATGATAAAAGGCTTCTTCTGTATTTATGAGACTCCTATGTGCCTGCCATCATGTGTGGAAAATTTTATCGACATTCACCAGTTCAACATGGGATAAATGTGAGATTTTGGCACACAGCTTCTTCACCATCTTGGCTTCTCTTGTTGAAAAGCTGTTAATAGCTTAAAACATGGGAAGTATTGTGTGTGCTTGTAGAAAGAAAATCCCATGATGGCAGTGAAAGACAATTGGGCCAGTTGAGATTCACAACTCCAGCCTGAAAATTTTCTTTACGTCAGACAACATAGATGCCAAGTCAGAGTGGCTGTTCAGCAGCACTATAATGTAGTAGGCAGAGTTCATAGTTCTTTGCACAAATGCCTATCCAACCTTCCTGCACAGCCAGAGGATTGACTTTGGGACCCCTATATGGGATGGGCAATGCTCCAAATGTTTGTGAGAGCTGAGTCAAATCTAAAACAGGCAGCACTCACGGATTAAGTAGTCTTGACAGGGAACTACAAATAATAATATCTAAGAAAATATACTCTAGGAAGACCAAAAAAAGCTAGACAGCTGAGACTGGAATAAATATATAATTAATTGTTCAATGTGAAACTGTAGGCATACGTCTACAAGAAACAGCAGCAAGCCAATAACCATGACTACCCTGAACAGAGAAAGCATGGAGCCAGTTGCCATCCCTAATGAGATGGTAATGTTTGAACTCTAGAATCAAGAATTCATAAATGCAATTTTAAGGAAATGTAGCAAAACCCAAGATAATGCAGAAAAGGAATCCAAGAATGTATTAGAAACTTGAAGAGATTGAAATAATACACCAAACAAATATTGCAAATGAGAAATAATTGTTTCAACTGAAATAATTATTAGAGGATGTCATTAGCAGAATGGATCAAGCATAAAAAAACAGTGATCTTAAAGATAGGGTATTGGAGAATCTGTAGAGATTAAAGAAATAGAAAAGGCCTAGAGAATAGCTACAGGATATAGAGAATAACGTCCAAACAGCAAATTAAATAATCATTGGTGTTCAAGTGGTAGTTTTGGAATAGCAAGGGCAGTAAAGCTTATTCAATGAAATAACAATACATTCCAAATGTAGAGGAAAGTACTTTTCAGGTACAACAACGTTAAAGACCAAATAGATTCAGTTTAATTAAGAATACCCCAAGGTGTGTGTGTGTGTATATATATATATATATATATATATATAATCATCTCAAAAACATACTACAAAGAGAAAGGACACTGAAAACAGCAAGAGAAAAGCAAATAACATTATATACTTCCAATTTGTTTGTTAACAGACTTCTGATCAGAAATTGTACATACCAGGAGGGAGTGAAGTGACATAAAGTGCTAAAGGAAAAAAGTTAACCAACAATACTGTACCCACAAAAGATTTCCTTGAAAGATTGAGAGATAACATCGTTTACAAAAAGAAAAGGAAACATGGTGAGAATTCATCACTAGACTCGTCATTCAAGAAATGCTAAGTTCTTTATCCTGAAGAAAATTATGCTAACGTCCAAAGAGAAAAAGTTTGACATTACAAAACTCAGTGGCCAATGCAAATACATAGGCAAATGCAGAATAAATTAATACGCTTGTTTTGTGTAAGCCTCTTATATCCATAATACGAGGAGTAAGATGCAAGTCTATGAAAAGTAACTATAGCAGCATCATAAAATATAGCCAATTTAAAAATAGACATGAGAAAGTCAAAATGTGGGGGAATTGAATTAAAGCATAAAATTGATTGGCTGTTTATATTCCTTATGATGAAAATTATTATCGGTTTAAAAATACTTTTATCTATGAGATACTACCAAAGAAAGTCACTTAACCACAATGGGAGAAGGAAGAAAGAAATAATTTGGAAAACGACAAAAAAGTACCAATCAAAATGTCAATAGTGATTTCTTACCTATCAATAATAATATTGATAGGTATTATCTAGGATCCCCCTAAAAAGAACAGAGAGTGGCTCAGTGGATATTTTAAAAAATCGGCTGGGTGTGGTGGCTTACGCCTGTAATCCCAGCACTTTGGGAGGCCTAGGTGGGCGGATCACCTGAGGTCAGGAGACTAGCCTGACCAATATGATGAAACCGCGTCTCTACTAAAAATAATACAAAAAAATTAGCCGGGCTTGGTGGCATGCGCATGTAATCTCAGCTACTCGGGAGGCTGAGACAGGAGAACAGCTTGAACCCGGGAGGCGGAGGTTGCAGTGAGCCAAGATCACGCCATTGCACTTCAGCCTGGGCAACGAGCGAAATTCTGTCTCAAAATAATAACAATAGTCAGTCCCAACTATATGCTGCATGTAAAAAATTAACTTACATATACACATTGACTAAAAGTGAAGGGATGCAAAAAGTTTTCAAATGGAAACCAATAAATAGCAGCTGTATTTGTATCAGATAACAGAAAATTTTCACTTAATATTTATTAGGTGAAAAGGTGTGAATAGAGACAAAAAAGTATTATGTAGTAAATACTTATGAAGGGTCAATTCAGGAAGAGGGTATAAAAATCGTAAATATGTATGCATCCTGCAGCAGAACACCAAAATATATAAAGCAAACTGTAAGCGACCTAAAGCGAGAGAAACTGCAATACAGTAATAGTAGGGGACTTTAGTAACCCTTCCTCAACTCTTGTCACCTGAGTACACAGAGGCTTATTCCAACTGGGGGAACGAAATAGAAGACAGTGGGATAATTTGCCTAGTAACCCAGGCAGTTCTACCCTGGTATTCCCCAAGTCCACCAGTGCTGTGTATGTGCCAGGCTTTAAGCCTGGCTGTGTTCCTGGTCCTAGGGCGCCCTCTAGTGATGAAATGGTTGCAGTGACCACATTCTTAGATAAAACAACACAATCACATTTAATTTTTGGGACGCCCTGTGAAGAAGGGCAGCTACGAAGTAGCAGACTACAAAGATTGGAATAAATACCTAACTCTTAAATGCCTGGACACTGGAGAACTTCCACAAGCATAAGACCATCCAGGAGACATGACATCTCCAAAAGGACTATGGGATCTAGTTTTGGAGCGATGTAGTTATGTTGCCTCTCATACAGGAAACTCAAAATAGCTAGGAACTATGATCTAAAATATACAAAGGAAGTAGCCACTGACCGACCCTAATGAGATGGTGATGTGTGTGATGTCAGGGTAAGAATTCAGGAGAAACGTTTTGGGAAAATAGCAAACACCATGATAATGCAGGAAAGCAATTCAGTAATTTATTAAATGTAACAAATACTGAAACAATAGATAACCAAACTGAAATACTGGAACTGAGAAATAATGACTGAATGGACAAATGCACCAGAAGGTCTCAACAGCAGCACTGATCCAGCAGAACAAGAATCAGTATTATTAAAGACAGGCTATATGAAAATGCACAGTGAGTGCAGAAAGAAGCAAAAAGAACAAAAAAGTATGAAGCATGCGTACAAGGTGAAGAAAATAATCTTGAAAGCACAAACCTCAGAGTTACCATTCTTAAAGAGGGAGAGTTTGGAGTTGAAAGTTTAGAGAAGTAGGCCGGGCATGGTGGCTCACGCCTGTAATCCCAGCGCTTTGGGAGGCCGAGGTGGGTGGATCACCTGAGGTCGGGAGTTCGAGACGAGCCTGCCCAACATGGTGAAACCCACGTCTCTACTAAAAATACAAAAGTTAGCTGGGCGTGGTGGCTCACGCCTGTAGTCCCAGCTACTTGGGAGGCTGAGGCACGAAAATTGCTTGAACCAGGGAGGCAGAGGTTGCAGTGAGCTATGTATGTGTATATCCAGATGTGATTACCCAGGTAGAAGACAGTAAAAAACAAAAACAAGCAGATTCAACCAAAATAAGGCTTTGCCAAGGAATGTAACAATCAAATGTTCAGAGGTAGAGAAAAATTTAAATGGTCCTAAAAGCTGCAAGAAAACAAGCAAATAATGTATAAATGAGCTCTGATACATCCGGTAGTGAAGAGTTTACAGGCTAGGAGGGAGTATGATGACATATTTAGTGCTGAAGGAAATAACCTGCCAAATCAGAATATCAAATTCAGCAAAATATTCTTCAAACTTGAAAAATAAATACTTTACCAGACACACAACAGCTGAGGAATTTTTGTCAACATCAGACTTGTCTTAAATGCTAGAAAGAGTAATTCAGTCTGAAAGGACATTAATGAGCAAAAAGAAAACATCCGAATGTTTACAACTCATAGAAAAAGGAGGTACATAAATATAGAATAATACTGTGATTGTGGTATGTAAACATATTTTTAGCAGGAAGAAGACTAAAAGGTAATTCTATTAAAATTATAACTACAAAAATATTAGAGATAGATAAACATAACAAAGATAAGATCATAGCATGTAGGGTGGAGATTAAGTGTGGAGTTCTTTGGTTTTCTCTTTGCTTGTCATTCCTTGTGACTACAGATACCTTGTCATTAATTTAAAATTATTGGTTATATGATGGTTTTTGCAAGCCGCATGACAACAACCATGCAAAAACCTCAGAAAATAAAAGCAAGGAATTAAAATATACTATCAGAAAAAAATTAGTTAATGGAATACAGGGAGGAAAGAAGAATGGACGAGAGGACCAACTAAGCAAAATTTGAAAGAATGGAAAAGGAGCAAACACTTTCAGTTTCATTCTACAAGGCCAGTGTTTCCCCGATAACTAAAGGAAAAGGTCTAAAAACCCCCAAACAACAATAAACCCCAGAAGACAAATATGTCTGATTCACACAGATGGAACAATCCAGAAGAAAATGCTAGTAAACTGTATTCAACAACACACTAAAAATATAATTCATACTTATCAAGGTGGATTAATCTTAGGAATGCATGGATTGTTCAAGCTATGCAAATCAATTAGTTTTATGTCGTATAACAAAGTCAACAACCATAATGTTGTAATGGATGTCCAAAAAGTATTTTATAAATTAAATATTTTATTAAAAATTATCTCAAAATTGGGTATAGAGTTAAGATATCTCAACAGACTGGCAGTTGAACTTACACTGTCCTTGTGAGCAAGGAAAACTGACAAGCATACTGCTAGATTTGGAAGACATTAAAAATGCCCATGTTCAGCACTTTAGTTCACCATGTTACTGGGAGTTCTAGTCAGAGCAAGTATAAAAGAGAAACAAATAAGGGCATTCATATTAGAAAGGGAGAATTATAAATATCCCAACAGATACAAATAAAATATATAGGAAGAAACTTAACCAATCAAGTAAAATGTATCTACAAGGAAAACTATGAGTCATTGATAGAAATTGAAGAGGACACTAGTAAATGAAAAGATACTGCATGTTCATTTAGCGGGAGAAGTTATATTGTTAAAAACCCATACTACATATAGCAATCTATAGTTTCAAAATGCCAGTGTTATTTTTTCACAGAAATAGGAACAAGACGAAGAATAGACACAGTAATCCTGAGCCAAAAGAACAAAGCTGGAGTCATCACATTACCTGACTTAAAATTATATGACAACGTAACACTAACCAAAACCGAATGTGACTTGCATACATATACATACACCAATGTAACATCTACAAACCAGAAATCCATGTATTGAAACTAAACTTGGCCTATCAGAGAGCTCCAACAGCCCAGGCTCCACAGGTTGAGTGAGTGCTGCCAGCACAAATGTATTTATAGGTGTTTGTAATCCCGCTCCTGCTGGGCCATCACTCGTGCAATCGTGTGCATGAACAACGGTAACCTCGCCCCTTGTTTGTTGTTACTGGTGCGAATGGGCACCAGCAACTCCACACCTACCATTCTGCCCCAAGTGCAAATGTGCACATGGGTGGCAGCAACTAGCCTCCTCTAGGGCCTCATATTTGCAGCCAGTGGCATGAGTTCTAGCATGGACGATGTTAAACCCTACTCTTCCAGTGTCCCTCCCCATCTGACACATGTACACTCTTCCATGCTGTTGAGGCTACTGGCACGAGCAAGTGAGCCTGGATCCCACTGCCACCAACCCAATGAAATAGTATGGCTACCACCCCCTATTTGAAAACTGTGGGCAGCGTAACAGGAACACATCCGCCCCTCCAGTTCGGCATGTTTCTAACCTTGAGGGACCAGAGAACACAGCGTCCTTTCTTGACCCTGCTTCCCCAGAGTTAGAGCATGCAGCCCAGGAATCCTGAGGTGAGCCTTGGCCCCCTAAAATCTTCCAGAAATGAAGCCAGTCAACTGAACCCACTTTACACCTCAATCAAAACCCAAGGGCATTGAAGAAGATTAAAGAAAAACATCATACAAAGCACAGCATCTTCAAAGATGGAAAGAATATTAGTCCACATACATGAGAAAGAAGTATTGCAAGAACTCTGGCAGTTTGAAAAGCCATAGTGTCTTCTAACTTCCAAAGGGCCACACTAGCTTTCTGGGAGAGGTTCTTAACCAGGCTGAGATGGGTTAAATGACACAGGGTAAAGAATATGGGTATGAATGAAGATCATTGAGATTCAGGAGAAAGTTGAAACCTAATCTAAGGAATTTAAGGAACACAATAAAACAATACAGATGTTGAAAACTGAAATGGCCATTTTAAAATCTGGTAGAGCTGAAAAGCACACTACATAATTACATAATGTAATTGGGAGTATTAACAGCATAGATGAAGCTAAGGAGAATCTCAGCTCTAAGACTATTTAGTTGAATTAGCTGTCAGACAAATATTTTAAAAAATTTAAAAACTAAACAAAATCTCTATGAAATATGGCATTCAAATCTATGAGTCACTGACATTCCTGAAAGAGGCAAAGAAAGCAAGCAACTTTTTAGTTTATTGTCCATCAGTTTTTCTGCAACCTTGCTAGAGAGGCCAAAATTCAAATTCAGGAAATTCTGAGAACACTGCAAAATACTGTCCCCCAGACAGTTATCAGATTGAAATGAAAGAAAATGTCCAAAACAACTATAGAGAAGGGCCGGGTAAACTACAAAGGGAAGCCCATCAGGCTAACGGCATACCTTTCAGCAGAATCCCTAGAAGCCAGAAGATATGGATACCTATATTCGGCGTTTTTAATATGAAGTGATTCCAACCAGTAATTTCATATTCAGCCAAATTAAGCTTTATAGGTGAAGGAGAAATAAGATCCTTTACAGGCAAGGAAGTGCCAAGGCATTTCATTACCACCAGACCTGCCTTACCAGAGGTCCTTAACTGAGTGCTCAATATGAAAAGGAATGACCATTATTGGCCACCAAAAAAACACATTTAAGTACACAGACCACTGACACTATAAACCAAATGCACAATTAACCAGCAACCAGCTAATAGTAATACAGAATCAAATATAAACATATCAGTGTTACGTTTGAAATTAAATAGACTACTGTCCTAATAAATGATAAAAAGAGGCAAGTTGGATAAAAAAGACCGAACTGTATGCTGTCTTCCTGAAACCCATTTCAGAAGTAATGGCACCCATTGACTCAAGGTAAAGGGATGGAGAAAATTCTACCAAGCAAACAGAAAAAAGGAGGAGGGACAGATTGCTATTCTAACTTCATAGAAAATAGACTTTAAAACAGCAATTGTCAATAAGGACAGAGAAAGATATAATCATGAAGAGTTCAACTCAACAAGAGCTAACTATATATGCACTGAACACAGGATCATGCGCGTTCATAAAAGAAGTTCCTACAGACCTATGAAGAGACTTAGATAAGCAGACAATAAGAGTGGGAAACTTCACTACCCCATTGACACTATTAGATCACTGAGGCTGAAAGCTAAGAGATATTTTAGTCCTGTACTTGACACTTGACCAAATGGACCTATCAGACATCCATATTAATGTCCACCCAAAACCACCAAGTACACATTCTTCTCATCTGCACATGGCACATACTCTATAGTTGACTACACAGTGGGCCATAAAACAATCCTCACCAAATTCAAATAACAGCAAAATCATACTAAACAGATCTTTGGACCAGAGCACAATAAAAATAGAAATCAACACGAAGATTACTCAACACTATACAATTACATGGAAATTAAGCAACTTGATCCTTAATTATGTTGGCATAAATAATGAAGTTAAAGCAGAAATGGACAAGTTCAATATCTCAATTTAACAAGCTAATATAACAAACAGAGGAATTAGAAAACGAGTACACTAATTCCAAAGCTAGCAGCAGACAAGAAATAACTAACCAGTTTTGAAATTGAATCAGTAATAAAAACCCTACCAACCCTACCTGGACCTGATGGATTTATGGCTGAATACAACCAGATATGTAAGAAAGAGCTGGTGAAATTCCTAGTTAAGCTATTCCAAAATATCAAGGAGGAAGGACTCCTCCCTTAATCATTTTATGAAGCCAGCATGATCCTGATACCAAAACTTGGCAGAGACACAACACAAACTTGAGACAAATATCCTTGATGAACTTAAAAGGAAAAATTCTCAAGAAAATACCAGCAAACCTAATCCACTTGCATATCAGAAAGCAAATTCCCCATGATTAAGGAGGCTATATTTGTGTGATGCAAGGTTGGTACAACATACAGAACTTACGAAAAAAATGTGATTTATCACATAAGCAGAGCTAAAACCATGTTCATCTCTATAGATGCAGAAACTATTTATTTAACATTACTTCATGTTATGAACCCTCAACAAATTAGGCATTGAAGAAACATATCTCAAAATAATGACCCATCTGTTACAAACTCACAGCCAACCTCATAATCAACTGGCAAAAGTTGGAAGCATTCCTTTTATGACCAGAGCAAGTCAAGGATGCTCAGTGTCACCACACCTATTCAACATACTACTGGAAGTTCTAGCTAGAGCAATCAGTTAATAGAAAAGGCATCCAAATAGGAAAAGAAGTAAAACTATCTCTGCAGACAACATGATTTTATACATAGAAAACCTCAAAGCCCCAAAGCTCCTAGATTAGATACAAAACTTCAACAAAGTTTCAGTATAAAAAGTCAGTCTGTAACTTAGCATTTCTATACAGCACCAACATCAAAGCTCAGAATTGAATCAGGAAGGCAAACCCATTCACAATAGCCACAAAAAGCATAAATCACCCAGGAACACATTTAACCAGGAAGGTGAAAGATCACTATAAGGAGAATTACAAAACACTACTGAAGGAAATCATAGATGACACAAATAGGAAGAAATGACATTGTTAAAATGGCCATAATCCCCAAAGCAATTTATACATTAATTGCTATTCAAACTACCAATGACATTCTTTGCAGAATTAATACAACCTTTAAAAATTCATATGGAGTGAAAAAGTCCTAATAGCCAAGGCAATTCTAGACAAAAAACAAACTTGGAAGCATAACATTACCTGAATTTGAAAGTATTCTACAAGATTACAGTAACCATAACAGCATGGTACCGGTATAAAAGTAGACATGGAGGCCAATGGAGCAGAATATAGAACACAAAGCTGTACACCAACAGTCATCTGCTTCTCAACAAAGTTGACAAAACAAGCAATGAAGACAGGACTTCCTGTTCAATAAATGGTGCTGGCATAACTGACTACGTATATATTCAAGGTTGACACTGGACCGCTTCCTTACATTACATATAATGACTCAATATAGATTAAGGGCTTAAATGTAAAATATAATACCATAAAAATGCTAAAATATAACTTAGGAAATACCATGCTGAACATAGGTTCTGAAAAATATTTATGATGAAGACTCCAAATGCAATTACAGCAAAAACAAAAATTGACAAATAGAACCTAGTTAAACTATAGAGATTCTGCACAGCAAGAGAATCTATCAATGGTGAACACAATGTACAGAATGGGAGAAATATCTGCAAATTATGCATCTGACAAAGTTCTAATATCCAGAATTTATAAGCTACTTAAATTCATGGGGAGAAAACCACATTGAAAATATGAAAAAGTACATAGACATTTTTTCAAAGGAAGACATGCATACAGCTAGGAGTCATATGACAAAATGCTGAACATCACTAATCTATAGAGAAATGCTAATTAAAACCACAATGCAATTCTGTCTTACACCAACCAGAATGGCTGTTACTAAAAAGTCAAAAATAGTACGTTGTCGAATCTACAGATAAAAGGGAATGCTTATGGATTGCTCGTTGAATTGTAAATTATTTCATCCATTGTGGATAGCAGCTTGGTGATTTTGCCAATAACAAGAACATCAAACAGAAATACCATTTGATGCAGGAATCCCATTATTGGTTTTATACCAAAAGGAGTATAGATTTTAGGACCATAAAGACACATGAATGTGCATGTCAATTGGAGCACTCTTCATAATAGTGAAGATATGAAGTGAAGCTTAACACCCACTGATGGCTGACCATATGAAGAAAACATACATGTACACCATGGTACACTACAACATCATAAAAAAGAATGAAATTATGTCCTTTGCACCAACATGGTTGAACTATTTTGAAAATACGTGGCAGCAATGTCAAATCATCAGAAGAAAAGGAACCATATGATTTTGTAAATGGGCAAATAGAGTAACCATTTCTCCAAAGAATACACAAACATGACCAAGAAGTAACTGAAAAAAAACCACAAGTCAAAACCACAATGTGAGATTCTCTCACTGCAGTTCAAATAGCTGTTATCAAAAGGACAAATAATGCTGTCAAGCAAGAAGGCAAAAGGGATCTCTGATAACACTGTTGGGGGAGTCTTGCTCTGTATTCCAGGCTGGAGTGCAGTGGCATGATCTCGGTTCACTGCAACTTTTGCCTTCCAGATTCAAGCAATTTTCCTGCCCCAGCCTCCCAAGTAGCTGGGATTATAGGCATATGCCACCACACCTAGCTAATTTTTGTATTTTTAGTAGAGGCAGAGTTTCACCATGTTGGCCAGGCTGGTCTCCAACTCCTGACCTCAGGTGATCCACCCGCCTTGGCCTCCCAAAGTGCCGGGATTACAGGTGTGAGCCACCACGCCCAGCCAATATTCACGGTTTTCTAAAACAATTAGTTGATAAAACTACCATACTATTCAGCATTTCTTCCATGGGCTACATCCAAAAGAAGGGATGTAAATATATTGAAGAGATAGCTGCACTGATATGTTTATGGCAGTATTTACAATCACTAGGATATAGAATCACCCTGTGTGTCCATCAGTTGATGAATGGATAAAGAAAGTGTGGTATGTATACACAATAGAATGAATATTCAGTCATACTTAAGAATGACATCCTGTCACTTGCAACTACATGTATGGAACAGTAGGACATAATAAGTAAAATAAGCCAGGCATGGAAAGACTGTGTATTCTCACTCATTTGTGGTAGGTACAAAGAACCTATGGATTTAGAGGGTGGAATGACGGTTATCAGTAATGGGTTGATGTGTTAGGAAAAGGAAATAAGGAGGGTATGGTTAAGGAGTACAAAATGCCATTTGAAAGTAGGAATAAGATCTGTTTTGCGGGAGAACAATAGGACAGCTATAGTAAATAATTATTGTATATTTGAAAGTAATTACAAGAGTAGAAGTTGATTGTTCCTAACACAGAGAAATGATGAATGCTCGAGGGAATGTATATCTCCATTACCTTGTTTTGATTGTTGCACATGACACATTTGTATTGCAATATCATGTGTCCCATATATATGTACATATATACAACTATCATGTCCCAATAATATTTAAGCATATGTGATTTTTATAAACAAGTGAACTAGTTAGGGGTAGATAAATCTAAAATAAAAACAAGCATAAATCTATATATAACAAGTCTACAGCTAATATAATGAACAATTGAAATTCCTTCCTCTAATATCTGGAACAGGATAGGATGCCCACTTTCACCACTTTTATTCCATATAACATTCTATCCAGAGCTATTAGGCAAGTGAAAGAAATAATGGGCATCCAAATGAAGAGAAGTTAAATAATATTGCTGCAGGATTCTAAGGAGCAATACAGAAATTTTTAGCATTTACATTTGCCAACAGTGAAAAATCTGAAAAAGAACTCAAGAAAGCAATCTCATTTGGAATCTCTACAAAAAAATCAAATAGTCAAACTTTGAAGTCATGAAACATCCCTACAAGGTATTGAGGGAACCGGCCCCCAATATTTCAATGTAGGTTCTTTTCTATTTTTCCTAAGTGTTGGCCGGTCTGAGAAATAAAGGGTAAGAGTACAAAAGAGAGAAATTTTAAAGCTGGGTGTCTGGGGAAGACATCACATGTCAGCAGGTTCTGTGATGCCCCGAGCCACAAAACCAGCAAGTTTTTATTAGCGATTTTCAAAGGGGAGAGAGTGTACGAATAGGGTGTGGATCACAGAGATCACATGCTTCAAAGGCAATAAAATATCACAAGGCAAATGGGCAGGGCAAGGTCACAAGGCCAGGGTGAAACTAGAATTGCTGATGAAGTTTCATGTCCCACTGTGCATGCATTGTCATTGATAAACATCTTAACAGGAAACAGAGTTCAAGAGCAGAGAACCAGTCTGACTAGAATTTGCCAGGCTGGAATTTCCTAATCCTAGCAAGCCTGGGGGTGCTGCAGGAGACCAGGGCATGTTTCATCCCCATCTACAACTGCATAAGGCAGACACTCCCAGAGCGGCCATTTTAGAGGCCTCCCCCTGGGAATGCATTCTTTTCCCAGGGCTGTTAATTATTAATATTCCTTACTGGGGAAAGAATTCAGCGATATTTCTCTTACCCATTTTCGGCAATAAGAGAAATATGACTCTGTCCTGCCTGGCTCCCAGGCAGTCAAACCTAATGGTTATCTCCCTTGTTCCCCGAACATCGCTGTTATCCTGTCCTTTTTTTCAAGGTGCCCAGATTTCATGTTGTTCAAACACACATGCTTTACAAACAACGTGTGCAGTTAACACAATCATCACAGGGTCCTGAGGCGACATACATCCTCAGCTTACGAAGACAACAGGATTAAGAGATTAAAGACAGGCATAGGAGATTATAAGAGTATTGATTGGGGAAGTGATAAATGTCCATGAAATCTTCACAATTTATATTTAGAGATTGCAGTAAAGACAGGCGTAAGAAATTATAAAAGTATTAATTTGGGAACAAACAAATGTCCATGAAATCTTTACAATTTATGTTCTTCTGCCATGGCTTCAGCAGGTCCCTCCATTTGGGGTCCCTGACTTCCCGCAACAAAAAGGAAAACATTGATAATGGAAACTGAATAGGACACAATGAAATGGGAAATTATTCATAATTAAAATATCATTACTGCCTAAAGCAGTCTGCAGATTCATTCTTTTTGTATCAAAAATCAATGATATTCCTCATAGAAATAGAAAAAGAATTCATAAAATTCATGAGACCACAGGAGATACTGAGTATCAAAAGTAATCCTGAGGAAAAGCAAAGATGAAGACATCATACTACTTCAAAAGATACTACAATGTCATTGTAAACACAATGTGATGATATTGGCATGATATACACGTAGATCAGTGGGATGAAATCAAGAACCCAGTGATAAATACAGACATTTACAAAAAATTCATTTTTAAAAATCACCATAAATATATGTTGTGGAAAGGATAGTGCTTTCAATGAAAGTTGCTGGGAAAACTTGGTAATCATATGCAGAAGAATGAATCTTACCATATGTAAAAATAAAATTAATATGGGTTAAGTGCTTATGTCTGAAACTATAAAAAGTGGTAGATAAAATCTTTGTATAAATGCTTCTGGATATTTGTCTAGGCAAAGATATTTTGGTAAGCTCTGAAAAGCAGAGGCAACAAAAGCAAAAATAGACATAAGTTCATACATCTAGCTAAAATGCTTTTGCACAATAGAGGTAACAAAATAGTGAAACCAAAATTATAATGGGAAAAAACCTGATAACTATGTTTTTTACAGCGATGAGAATATATATTCATATCATCAGAAGGCAAGCAAATAATCTGATTTTAAAGGATAGATTAAAAGAAGGCATAAGTTGCCAACAGGTATATGTAAAATTTTTCATCATCACTAATCATCATGGAAGTGCAATTTCAAGCCACAATGGAATGTTGTGCAATTAAAACAAATATCTAAAAGACAACAGATGGTGTTGAGCATGCATACAATTGGTTATGCTCATGTACTGTTTCTGAGAATGTAAATTTGTATAGCCATTCTTGAAAACAGTATTGTGTTGTCTCATAAAACAAATGATGTAACCACTATACTGTGTCAATTCCACTACTCAGTATTTATCACAATGAAAGGTATCAGTATATTAGGAGGATATTTTCATCCATCTCCTTATTGCAGCTCTATTCACAATAGCTTTTGAATTAACCTGAAAGTTCATCAAGGGATGCATGGAAAATGGCAATATTATATATATGCACTATTGAAAATTGTTAATTAAAAGGAACAAAATCATATCACTTTCAGTAATATGACTGGAATTGGAGGTCATTATGGTAAGTGAAAGAAGCCAAGCACAAAAAAATAAACACTGCGTGTTCTCATGTATATGTTAAAATATAAAATAGTTGATCTGCTTGGTGCGCAGAGTTGATTGCTGGTTACTGAATGATCTTCTATTCAAGGGGGGAAGACAACAATTTTGACTAATGAGTACAAAAACAAGTAGAATAAATAAGTCCTAATATTTGATAGTACAGTAAGGTGACAACAGTAAACAGTATTTCATGTTATTGTTTAAGGTTGCTGAAATAATAGAGGAATTATAATGTTCCTAACATAAAAAGAGACTAATGTTTGGGGTGATGCATGTTTCAACTACCCTAGTTCAATTACTACTGACTGTATTCATGTATCAAAATACCACATGTACCCTCTAAAATGTACAACTTTTATGTATCCAGGTGAATATTCAAAATTCAGAGATTAGTGTGAAAATGTTACCGCTTATTTTTCCATCAAAATTGTTATTAAAATAGCTTATCAGGTGTTTTTGTTGTCTCATGGAACCACCAAATATCTATAGTAGATACACAAAAAATAAAAAGTAAGACATTTTACAACACCACAAGATTAAAAAATAATTACAAGATAGTGGGAGAATAAAAAAATGAAGGAAGGATCTAGTAATAAACAAGAAAGCAATTTACAAACATTTCTTTAAATATTAACAATATTTTGAATCTAAATGGAATAAATTCTTCATTAAAAATAGAGTAGCAGAATGGATATTATAAAATACTGCCTATAAGACACTCACTTCACTTGTAAGGACACATGGACTGAAAGTAATGGGATGAAAAACTATTGTATAGAAATCGAAAGCAAACGAGTATCAGTAGCTAAACTTATTCCATCAAACTATACATGAAGCCAGAAACCATAAAATTTGGGAAATAAGTTTATTACATAATGGTAAAAGGGGTTAATTCAGCAAGAGGTTATAGTAATTGTAAATACATATATACCCAAAACAGAAGTGCTCAATCATATAAAACAAATATAATAACTTCTGAGTGGACAGATAGATTGCCATACAATAATAATAGGGGACTTAAGTACTGAAGTTTCAGCAATGGGCAGATCATCTGGATCTGACTTACACTACATCTGGCTTACACTACACTTTATGCCAAATAAAGCAAACTGACGTATACAGAATACTTCGTCTAACAGCGGCACAATCTACATTCTTCTCTGCAGAAGATGGATCTTTGCGTAGGCCTTATGTTACGAATCAAGACTAGTTTTACATTTAATAATACAGAAATTATACCACATTTTTAAGCACATTGCATGAACCTAGGAACTATTAGTAGAATGAACATTAGAATGTTCACAAACACATAGAAATTAAACAATATGCTTTTGAATAATGAATGGGTGAATCATTAAATCCAAATGGAAGTTAAAAAATATTTTGACAAATGAAAGATGAAACACAAAACACCAATATTTGTGATACCAGAAAAGTACTTAAAAAATAACCTTATGTTACACCTGAAGCAACTATTAATATAATGGGAAGAACAAACAGTCCAAATTTTACAGAAGGAAGCATATAATAAAGAGCAGCGTAGAATAAATGAAAAAATTTGTACTCATACAACGTACGCAAATCCAGTCATGAGAAAGAATATCTGAAGAGACCAATAACAAGTAAATTGTATCCATAATAAAAATCTCCTATCAAATATATGCCCATAGTGCTTCACTGGTAATTTCTGTCAAACCTAATTCCACTTTATATTAAGAGGATTACTTGCCATGTTCAAATGGGATTTGTCCCTCTGAGGCAAGGATGTTTTAAATAGTCTTATAAAGGAGGAGGGACACCGCCATTTGATCATCTCAATAGATTTAAAAATAAAACAGTTTTATAGAATTTGATATAATAAAAGCTGTCAACCAATTAGGCATAGAAGGAATGTATCTTTATACCATATAGGCAGTAAATGAAATACCCACAACTAACATCATAATCAATGAAGAAAACATGAAATATTTTCTTCGGAGGTAAAGAAGCCAATTATGCCCACTCTCAGCACCTCATTCAACCTAGTTCGGGATGTTCTAGCCAGTACAGTTAGGCAAGAGAAGGAAATTAAAGGCATTCAGATCGGAAAAGAGGGAGGCAAACTGGGTCTGTGTGGAGATGACCTGAACTTATGTGTAGAAAATACACTCTCCTGGCCGGGCGCGGTGGTTCACGCCTGTAATCCCAGCACTTTGGGAGGCCAAGGCGGGTGGATCATGAGGTCAGGAGATCGAGACCATCCTGGCTAACACGGTGAAACCCCGTCTCTACTAAAAGAAAAACAAAAAAATAAATTAGCTGGGGGTGGTGGCGGGCGCTTGTAGTCCCAGCTACTCAGGAGGCTGAGGCAGGAGAATGACATGAACCTGGGAGGCGGAGCTTGCAGTGAGCCAAGATCGTGCCACTGCACTCCAGCCTGGGTGACAGAGCAAGACTCTGTCTCAAAAAAAAAAAAAAAAAGAAAGAAAGAAAGAAAATACACTCTCCCCTTAAAACCTTTTGGAAGTGATAAAGAAATTCAGTAAAATTGCATAATACAAAACAGCCATACAAAAACCTGTAGCATTTCTATATCCCACCAGTGGGTAATTTCAAAAAGAAAACAAGAAATGAGTCTCATTGACAATAGCTTACAAAAGTACCGAGGAAGAGATCTGAACAAGCCAAAGATTTCTGTAATGAAAACTCTTTAAAAAATAATTCATTTTGTAATAAAAGCATTGAAGGAAGAAATTGACGACACAAATGAGTAGAAATATATTTTATATTTATGTGTTAGAATAATTTATATCTTAAAATATATATACTACTCAAAGCAATCTATTGATCTGTGCATCCCTATTAAATTTCTGATGTTATGTTAGTTTTGTCTATAAACAGAAGAAAATAATTCTGAAATTGTATGGAGCAACAAAAATCTTAAATGAAAAAATATTAAAGAAAATGAGGAGATCCAGGGTAATTGAAGTATCTGGCTTTAATATAGACTACAAAATTATAGTAACCAGAACAGCATTGTCTGGCATAAGACAGACACAGACACAACTGGAACAGAGTAGAAAGGAAATAAACTAAAGCTCCTAAACATAACTGATTCTTCACAAAGTTGCCAGGAGCACACTTCAGGGAAAATAAAACATTTACCGTGTAAATGGTACTGGGAAAATTTGATAATTACATGCAAAAGAATTAGATTAGAAGTCTACATCTAAAAATACACAAAAATTAACTCCCAATTGAATAAAGAATTAAATGTAAAATTGGAAACTATGAAACTTCTTGAAGAAAATGGGGGAAATGATTCATGATATTTTGCTGGGCAAGGATTTAGAAATGAGACCTGAACTTTTCAGGGAATAAAAGGAAAAATAACCAAATGAGAGTATATCAAAGTTTAAAGCTTTTGCACAGCGAAAGAGTATTAAAAGAGTGAGGAGTCATCGCTTCTCGGCCTTTGTGGAAGTCAGTGTGGCAATTCCTCAGGGATCTAGAACTAGAAATACCATTTGACCCAGCCATCCCATTACTGGGTATATACCCAAAGGACTATAAATCATGCTGCTATAAAGATACATGCACATGTATGTTTATTGTGGCACTATTCACAATAGCAAAGACTTGGAACCAACCCAAATGTCCAACAATGATAGACTGGATTAAGAAAATGTGGCATATATACACCATGGAATACTATGCAGCCATAAAAAAGGATGAGTTCATGTCCTTTGTAGGGACATGGATGAAATTGGAAATCATCATTCTCAGTAAACTATCGCAAGGACAAAAAACCAAACACTGCATGTTCTCACTCATAGGTGGGAATTGAACAATGAGAACACATGGACACAGGAAGGGGAACATCACACTCTGGGGACTGTTGTGGGGTGGGGGGAGGGGGGAGGGATAGCATTGGGAGGTATACCTAATGCTAAATGACGAGTTAATGGGCGCAGCACACCAGCATGGCACATGTATACATATGTAACTAACCTGCACATTGTGCACATGTACCCTAAAACTTAAAGTATAATAATAATAAAAAATAAAAGAGTGAGGAGTCAATTTACAGTATTGGAGAAAATATTTGCAAACAGTATATGTGACAAAGAGTTAAGAAGATATAACCAACGTAATTCAATAGCAAGAAAAAAGTAATATGAATTTTAAAAAATTGGCAAAAATTGCTGGCTGCTTCACTCCTGGAACCTTCACTAACCAGATCCAGGCAGCCTTCCGGGAGCCATGGCTTGTGGTTACTGACCCCAGGGCTGACCACCAGCCTCTCACGGAGGCATCTTATGTTAACCAACTTACCATTGCTCTGTGTAACACAGATTCTCCTCTGTGATACGTGGACATTGCCATCCCATGCAACAACAAGGGAGCTCACTCAGTGGGTTTGATGTGGTGGATGCTGGCTCGGGAAGTTCTGCGCATGCGTGGCACCATTTCCCGTGAACACCCGTGGGAGTTCATGCCTGATCTCTACTTCTACAGAGATCCTGAAGAGATTGCAAAAGAAGAGCAGGCTGCTGCTGAAAAGTGACCAAGGAGGAATCCTGTAATTTGCAATAACATGAATAAATTTTGAAGACAGCATTTTAACTGTAATAAGCTAGATACTGAATGACTAATGCTGTATTATCTTACTCAAATGGATACTAAGAAAATAAAAATTTGATATCCTAAGGTCAGAGAGTAGAACTGTGGTTACAATAGACAGGGGAGGGGCCTTTGATTTGGCCATTAGGTACAAAGTGACAATTAGAGAAGACTAGTAAATTATTCTGTTCTTTCACACACTATCATGACTATGGTTAAATGTAAAATACTGTATATTTCAAAAGAGTTAGAATAGACACTTTTCAATGTTTTCACCACTAAGAAATGATAACTGCATGTGATTGGATTAATATGCAACCTAAATACATACGAAAACATCACACTAAATTCAATAAATATATGCAATTATAATTTTGAGATAATGAAAAAGAAAAATTAAAAAATTATGACAAGCAGAGGCCAATATCTATGATGAACATAGACACACAAATGCTCTACAACAAACTAGCAACCTGAATTCAACACTGCATTAAACATTTTATTTTTCATAATCAAGCGGTATTCATCCCAGTGATGCAAAAATGATTGTATATATGGAAATTAATGTTATGCATTACACTAAGAGAACAAAGGATTAAAACCATATGATCATCTCAGTCAATATCATAAAAGCATTTGAGAATATTTATAATTTTTTCATGGTAACAACTCAAACATTTAGGCAAAGAATTGGGTCTCCCTATTCCCTGAGACAGAACCACACTGAAAATAGGACAAACAGTAACCCTGAAATGGCCTCTAACAATGATTGAACTTAGTGAGGAAGGAATGTTGAAGGCTGAGTGGCTGAAATCTAGGCCACTAGTGCAATAAATCCCATGATTTTAAAACCTAGAGCTAACATGTTATTCAGAGGGGAAAACATAAAAGCTTTTCCTCAAATAAAAAACACATCACAAATGCCCAATCTCATCACTTGCATTCAACATAGTACTGGAAGTTTTCACCACAGCAATAAGGCAAGAAAATAAAAAGCATTTAACTTGGAAAGAGTTATTATTTATTTATTTATTTATTTTTTAAACATGACATGATCATATGTACAGAAAACTCTTAAGAATTTCACCAAAAACAAGTCTACAAAAGGAATTAAATATCACTGGAGGAGACAAATGCAACAAAAACAAATTAGTAATATTTCTATAATGAAACAGCAAGCTATCTGACACAAATCAAGAAAACAATCCCATTTACAATATCTAACAAAAAATAAAATATTTAGAATTAAATTACCCAAGGAATTTTAATGCCTACACACCAAATATTAAAAATTTTTACTTTTATTGCATGTGGCTTTATTATGTTTCTCAGATATCATGGTGGGTTTTTTTTTTAAACCCACCCATGTGGCAACCCTCCATCCAGCAAGTCAGTTGGTGCCATTTTTTCCAGCAGCATTGTGTTGACTTTGTGTCTCTATACCACATTTTGTTAATTTTCCACTTTTCTTTATCATTGTTAGGTATAGTAAGTGAACTTTCTTCAGAATTCTTATTACCATTTTTATTATGATATTGAACTATGAATCTCACTTAGGTAAAATCATGAACTTAATCAGCAAATGTGTTCTGACTGCTTTTCTGATGAGTTGTTACCTCATCTTCTTTCTCCACCTAGGGCCTCCCTATTGCCTGAGACAGAAACATACTGAATATAGGAGACACAGTAATCCTGAAATGGCCTCTAGTTGTTTAAGTGGTAGGAAGACTTGCACTTTCTTCACCTTATATCAAAATCTCAAAATGATTAAACTTAGTGAGGAAGGCACATGGCAGGCTGAGTGGCTGAAGTCTAGGCCTCTTGCACCAAATAGCAAAGTTGTGGAAGCAAAGGAAAAGTTCTTGAAAAAAATTAAAAGTGTTACTTCACTAAACACATATATATTGAGAAAGCCAAACAGCCTTATTGCTGATATGGAGAACATTTTAGTGATTCATATAGAATATCAAACAAGTTATAACATACCATCAAGCCAACGCCTAATCCAGAGCAAGGCCCTATGTCTTTTCAATTATCTGGAAATGGAGTGCCGGTGGATTTTTTTTCTTTATTGTTATACTTTAAGTTCTAGGGTACATGTGCACAACATGCAGGTTTGTTACATATGTATACATGTGCCATGTTGGTGTGCTGCACCCATTAACTCGTCATTTACATTAGGTATATCTCCTAATGCTATCTCTCCCCCTCCCCCCACCCCACAACAGGCCCCAGTGTGTGATGTTCCCCTTCCTGTGTCCATGTGTTCTCATTGTTCAATTCCCACCTATGAGTGAGAACATGCAGTGTTTGTTTTTTTGTCCTTGTGATAGTTTGCTGAGAGTAATGGTTTCCAGCTTCATCCATGTCCCTACAAAGGACATGAACTCATCCTTTTTTATGGCTGCATAGTATTCCATGGTGTATATGTGCCACATTTTCTTAATCCAGTCTATCACTGATGGACATTTGGATTGGTTCCAAGTCTTTGCTATTGTGAATAGTGCCACAATAAACATACGTGTGCATGTGTCTTTATAGCAGCATGATTTATAATCCTTTGGGTACATACCCAGTAATGGGATTGCTGGGTCAAATGGTATTTCTAGTTCTAGATCCCTGAGGAATTGCCACACTGTCTTCCACAATGGTTGAACTAGTTTACAGTCCCACCAACAGTGTAAAAGTGTTCCTATTTCTCCACATCCTCTCCAGCACCTGTTGTTTCCTGACTTTTTAATGATTGCCATTCTAACTGGTGTGAGATGGTATCCCATTGTGGTTTTGATTTGCATTTCTCTGATGGCCAGTGATGATGAGCATTTTTTCATATGTCTGTTGGCTGCATAAAAGTCTTCTTTAGAGAAGTGTCTGTTCATATCCTTTGCCACTTTTTGATGGGGTTGTTTTTTTCTTGTAAATTGGTTTGAGTTCTTTGTAGATTCTGGGTATTAGCCCTTTGTCAGATGAGTAGATTGCAAAAATTTTCTCCCATTCTGTAGGTTGCCTGTTCACTCTGATGGTAGTTTCCTTTGCTGTGCAGGAGCTCTTTAGTTTAATTAGATCCCATCTGTCAATTTTGGCTTTTGTTGCCATTGCTTTTGGTGTTTTAGACATGAAGTCATTGCCCATGCCTATGTCCTGCATGGTATTTCCTAGGATTTCTTCTAGGGTTTTTATGGCTTTAGGTCTAACATTTAAGTCTTTAATCCATCTTGAATTAATTTTTGTATAAGGTGTAAGGAAGGCATCCAGTTTCAGCTTTCTACATATGGCTAGCCAGTTTTCCCAGCACCATTTATTAAATAGGGAATCCTTTCCCCATTGCTCGTTTTTTGTCAGGTTTGTCAAAGATCAGATGGTTGTAGATGTGTGGTATTATTTCTGAGGGCTCCAATCTGTTCCATTGGTCTATATCTCTGTTTTGGTACCAGTACCATGCTGTTTTGGTTACTGTGGCCTTGTAGTATAGTTTGAAGTCAGGTAGCGTGATGCCTCCAGCTTTGTTCTTTTGGCTTAGGATTGACTTGGCAATGTGGGCCCTTTTTTGGTTCCATATGAACGTTAAAGTAGTTTTTTCCAATTCTGTGAAGAAAGTCATTGGTAGCTTGATGGGGATGGCATTGAATCTATAAATTACCTTGGGCAGTATGGCCATTTTCAGGATATTGATTCTTCCCATCCATTTGCATGAAATGTTCTTCCATTTGTTTGTATCCTCTTTTCTTTTGCTGAGCAGTGGTTTGTAGTTCTTCTTGAAGAGGTCCTTCACATCCCTTGTAAGTTGGATTCCTAGGTATTTTATTCTCTTTGAAGCAATTGTGAATGGGAGTTCACTCATGATTTGGCTCTGTCTCTGTTATTGGTGTATAAGAATGCTTGTGATTTTTGCACATTGATTTTGTATCCTGAGACTTTGCTGAAGATGCTTATCAGCTTGAGGAGATTTTGGGCTGAGACAATGGGGTTTTCTAGATATACAATCATGTCATCTGCAAACAGGGACAATTTGACTTCCTCTTTTCCTAATAGAATACCCTTTATTTCTTTCTCCTGCCTGATTGCCCTGGCCAGAACTTCCAACACTATGTTGAATAGGAGTGGTGAGAGAGGGCATCCCTGTCTTGTGCCAGTTTTCAAAGGGAATGCTTCCAGTTTTTGCCCATTCAGTATGATATTTCCTGTGGGTTTGTCATAAATAGCTCTTATTATTTTGAGATACATCCCATCAATACCTAATTTATTGAGAGTTTTTAGCATGAAGCGTTGTTGAATTTTGTCAAAGGCCTTTTCTGCATCTATTGAGATAATCATATGGTTTTTGTCGTTGGTTCTGTTTATATGCTGGATTACGTTTACTGATTTGCGTATGTTGAACCAGCCTTGCATCCCAGGGATGAAGCCCACTTGATTATGGTGGATAAGCTTTTTGATGTGCTGCTGGATTCCGTTTGCCAATATTTTATTGAGGATTTTTGCATCGATGTTCATCAGGGATATTGGTCTAAAATTCTCTTTTTTTGTTGTGTCTCTGCCAGGCTTTGGCATCAGGATGATGCCGGCCTCATAAAATGAGTTAAGGAGGATTCCCTCTTTTTCTATTGATTGGAATAATTTCAGAGGGAATGGTACAAGCTCCGCCTTGTACCTCTGGTAGAATTCGGCTGTGAATCCATCTGGTCCTGGACTTTTTTTGGTTGGTCAGCTATTAATTATTGCCTCAATTTCAGAGCCTGTTATTGGTGTATTCAGAGATTCAACTTCTTCCTGGTTTAGTCTTGGGAGGGTATATGTGTTGAGGAATTTATCCATTTCTTCTAGATTTTCTAGTTTATTTGTGTAGAGGTGTTTATAGTATTCTCTGATGGCAGTTTGTATTTCTGTGGGATCGGTGGTGATATCCCCTTTATCATTTTTTATTGCATCTATTTGATTCTTCTCTCTTTTCTTTTCTTCTTTATTACTTTTGCTAGTGGTCTATCCATTTTGTTGATCTTTTCAAAAAACCACGTCCTGGATTCATTGATTTTTTGAAGGGTTTTTTGTGTCTCTATCTCCTTCAGTTCTGCTCTGATCTTAGTTATTTCTTGCCTTCTGCTAGCTTTTGAATGTGTTTGCTCTTGCTTCTCTAGTTCTTTTATTTGTGATGTTAGGGTGTCAATTTTAGATCTTTCCTGCCTTCTCTCGTGGGCATTTAGTGCTATAAATTTCCCTCTACACACTGCTTTCAATGTGTCCCAGAGATTCTGGTATGTTGTGTCTTTGTTCTCCTTGGTTTCAAAGAACATCTTTATTTCTGCCTTCATTTTGTTGTGTACCCAGTAGTCATTCAGGAGCAGGTTGTTCAGTTTCCATGTAGTTGAACAGATTTGAGTAAGTTTCTTAATCCTGAGTTCTAATTTGATTGCACTGTGGTCTGAGAGACAGTTTGTTATAATTTCTGTTGTTTTACATTTGCTGAGGAGTGCTTTACTTCCAATTATGTGGTCGATTTAGGAAGGTGTGATGTGGTGCTGAGAAGAATGTATATTCTGTTGATTTGGGGTGGAGAGTTCTGTAGATGTCTATTAGGTCCGCTTGGTGCAGAGCTGAGTTCAATTCCTGGATATCCTTTTTAACTTTCTGTCTCGTTGATCTGTCTAATGTTGACAGTGGGGTGTTAAAGTCTCCCATTATTATTGTGTGGGAGTCTAAGTCTCTTTGTAGGTCTCTAAGGACTTGCTTCATGAATCTGGGTGCTCCGGTATTGGGTGCATATATATTTAGGATAGTTAGCTCTTCTTGTTGAATTGATCCCTTTACCATTATGTAATGGCCTTCTTTGTCTCTTTTGATCTTTGTTGATTTAAAGTCTGTTTTATCAGAGACTAGGATTGCAACCCCTGCCTTTTTTTGTTTTCCATTTGCTTGGTAGATTTTCCTCCATCCCTTTATTTTGAGCCTATGTGTGTCTCTGCACTTGAGATGGGTTTTCTGAATACAGCACACTGATGGGTCTTGACTGTTTATCCAATTTGCCAGTCTGTGCCTTTTAATTGGGAGCATTTAGCCCATTTTCATTTAAGGTTAATATTATTATGTGTGAATTGGATACTGTCATTATGATGTTAACTGGTTATTTTGCTCGTTAGTTGATGCAGTTTCTTCCTAGCCTCGATGGTCTTTACAATTCGGCTTGTTTTTGCAGTGGCTGGTACCGGTTGTTCCTTTCCATGTTTAGTGCTTCCTTCAGGAGCTCTTTTAGGGCAGGCCTGGTGGTGACAAAATCTCTAAGCATTTGCTTGTCTGTAAAGGATTTTATTTCTCCTTCACTTATGAAGCTTAGTTTGGCTGGATATGAAATTCTGGGTTGAAAATTCTTTTCTTTAAGAATGTTGAATATTGACCTCCACTCTCTTTTGGCTTGTAGAGTTTCTGCCGAGAGATCCACTGTTAGTCTGATGGGCTTCCCTTTGTGGGTAACCCGACCTTTCTCTCTGGCTGCCCTAAGACTTTTTCCTTCATTTCAACTTTGGTGAGTCTGACAATTATGTGTCTTGGAGTTGCTCTTCTTGAGGAGTATCTTTGTGGCATTCTCTGTATTTCCTGAATTTGAATGTTGGCCTGCCTTCCTAGGTTGGGGAAGTTCTCCTGGATAATATCCTGCAGAGTGTTTTCCAACTTGGTTCCATTCTCCCCGTCACTTTCAGGTACACCAATCAGACGTAGATTTGGTCTTTTCACATAGTCCTATATTTCTTGGAGGCTTTCTTCATTTCTTTTTATTCTTTTTTCTCTAAATTTCTCATTTCATTTCATTCATTTGATCTTCAATCCCTGATACCCTTTCTTCCAGTTGATGAAATCGGTTACTGAAGCTTGTGCATTCGTCACGTAGTTCTCGTGCCATGGTTTTCAGCTCCATCAGGTCCTTTAAGGACTTCTCTACACTGGTTATTCTAGTTAGCCATTCATCTAATCTTTTTTCAAGGTTTTTAACTTTTTCGTGATGGGTTCGAACTTCCTCCTGTATCTCAGAGAAGTTTGATTTTCTGAAGCCTTCTTCTCTCTATTCGTCAAGGTCATTCTCCCTCCAGCTTTGTTCCACTGCTGGTGAGGAGGTGCATTCCTTTCGAGGAGGAGAGGTGCTCTGATTTTTAGAATTTTCAGTTTTTCTGCTCTGTTATTTCCCCATCTTTGTGGTTTTATCTACCTTTGGTCTTTGATGATGGTGACGTACAGATGGGGTTTTGGTGTGCATGTCCTTTCTGTTTGTTAGTTTTCCTTCTAACAGTCAGGACACTCAGCTGCAGGTCTGTTGGAGTTTGCCGGAGGTCCACTCCAGACCCTGTTTGCCTGGATATCAGCAGCAGAGGCTGCAGAACAGCGAATATTGCTGAACAGCAAATGTTGCTGCCTGATCATTCCTCTGGAAGTTTCATCTCAGAGGGGTACCTGGCCGTGTGAGGTGTCAGTCTGCCCCTACTGGGGGGGTGCCTCCCAGTTAGGCTACTCCGGGCTCAGGGACCTACTTGAGGAGTCAGTCTGTCCATTTTCAGATTTCAAACTCTGTGCTGGGAGAACCACCACTCTCTTCATAGCTGTCAGACAGGGACATTTTAAGTCTTCAGACGTTTCTGCTGCCTTTTGTTCGGCTATGCCCTGCCCCCAGAGGTGGAGTCTACAGAGGCAGGCAGGCCTCCTTGAGCTGCGGTGGGCTCCACCCAGTTCGAGCTTCCCAGCCACTTTGTTTACCTACTCAAGCCTCAGCAATGGTGGGTGCCCCTCCCCCAGCCTCACTGCCGCCTTGCAGTTCGATCTCAGACTGCTGTGCTAGGAATGAGTGAGGCTCTGTGGGCATGGGACCCTCTGAGCCAGGTGTAGGATATAATCTCCTGGTGTTCCGTTTCCTAAGACCATTGGAAAAGCACAGTATTAGGGTGGGAGTGACCCGATTTTCCAGGTGCTGTCTGTCACAGCTTTGCTTGGCTAGGAAAGGGAATTCCCTGACCCCTTGCACTTCGTGGGTGAGGCAATGCCTCGCCCTGCTTCGGCTCATGCTCGGGGCACTGCACCCACTTTCCTGCACCCAGTGTCCGACAAGCCACAGTGAGATGAACCTGGTACCTTAGTTGGAAATGCAGAAATCACCCATCTTCTGCATCGCTCATGCTGGGAGCTGTAGACTGGAGCTGTTCCTATTCGGCCATCTTCTTTTTTTGTTTGTTTGTTTTTTTGTTTTTTTTTTTTTTTATTTTGAATTGGTTCATGGTTCCACAGGCTATACAGGAAGCATCCCTGGGCATGCCTCAGGAAATTTTCAGTCATGGTAGAAAGGGAAGCAAGCACATCTTACATGGCTGGAGCAGGAGGAAGAGAGTGAAGTGGGAGGTGCTACACACTTTTAAACAATCAGATCTCGTGAGAACTCACTATCATGAGAACAGCTAGTGGGAAATGTGCTTCCATGATCCAATTACCTCCCAGCAGGCCCCTCCCGCAACATTGGGGATTACAATTTGACATGATATTTGGGTGGAAACACAAATCCAAACCACATCGCCAACTCAAATTAACTTCTGTCTATGGTATAAGGTAGGAGACAACATTGTTATTTTCCATACTGATGTCTAGTTGTTCAACACCATTTGTTAAAAAGACTTTCTTTTCCCATTGGATTGCTTTGGCACCTTTGTCTGTATGTTAATTAACCATACAAGGATGGATCTATTTTGGTTTCTGTTCTTCTTTTTTTTAATACTGTAAGTTCTGGGGTGCATGTGCAGAATGTGCAGGTTTGTTACATAGGTATACATGTGCCATGGTGGTTTGCTGCACCTATCAACTTGTCATCTACATTAGGTATTTCTCTTAATGCTATCCCACCTCTAGTGCCCCACCTCCCCAACAGGCCCCAGTGTGTGATGTTCCACTCCCTGTGTCCATGTGTTCTCATTGTTCAACTCCCATTTATGAGTGAGAACATGCAGTGTTTGGTTTTCTGTTCTTGTTAGTTTGCTAAGAATGATGGTTTCTAGCCTCATCCATGTCCCTGCAAAGGACATGAATTCATCCTTTTTTATGGCTGCATAGTATTCCATGGTAGATATGTGCAACAATTTTTTTATCCAATCTATCATTGATGGGCATTTGGGTTGGCTCCAAGTCTTTGCTATTGTGAATAGTGCCACAATGAACATATGTGTGCATGTGTCTTTATAGTAGAATGACTTACAATCCTTTGGGTATATACTCAGTAATGGGATTGCTTGGTCAAATGGTATTTCTAATTCTAGATCCTTGAGGAATCACCACACTATCTTCCATAATGGTTGAACTAATTTACACTCCCACCAACAGTGTAAAAGTGTTCCTATTTCTCCACAGCCTCTCCAGCATCTGTTGTTTCCCGACTTTTTAATGATCGCCATTCTAACTGGCGTGAGAAGGTATCTCATTGTGGTTTTGATTTGCATTTCCCTAATGACAAGTGATGATGAGCTTTTTTTCATGTTTGTTGGCTGTGTAAATGTCTTCTTTTGAGAAGTGCCTGTTCATATCCTTTGCCCACTTTTTGATGGGCTTGTTCCTTTTTTTCTTGTAAATTTGTTTAAGTTCTTTGTGGATCCTGGATATTAGCCCTTTGTCAGATGGATAGATTGCAAAAATTTTCTCCCATTCTGTGGGTTGCCTGTTCACTCTGATGATAGTTTCTTTTGCTGTGCAGAAGCTCTTTAGTTTAATTAGATCCTATTTGTCAATTTTGGCTTTTGTTGCTTTAGTCCTGAAGTCTTTGCCCATGCCTATGTCCTGAATGGTATTGCCTAGGTTTTCTTCTAGGGATTTTAGGGTTTTAGGTCTTCCGTTTCAGTCTTTAATCCATATTGAGTTAATTTTTGTATAAGGTGTAAGGAAAGGGTCCAGTTTCAGTTTTCTGCATATGGCTAGCCAGCTTTCCCAACACCATTTATGAAATATGGAATCCTTTCCCCATTGCTTGTTTTTGTCAAGTTTGTCAAAGATCAGATGGTTGTAGATGTGTGGTTATTTCTGAGGCCTCTTTTCTGTTCCATTGGTCTATATCTCTGTTTTGGTACCAGTACCATGCTGTTTTGGTTACTGTAGACTTGCAGTATAGTTTAAAGTCAGGAAGTGTGATGTCTCCAGCTTTATTCTTTTTTTTTAGGATTGTCTTGGCTATATGGGCTCTTTTCTGCTGCCATATGAAATTTAAAGTAATTTTTTCTAATTCTGTGAAGAAAGTACATGGTAGCTTGATGGGGATAACATTGAATCTATAAATTACTTTGGTCAGTATGGCCATTTTCACAATATTGATTCTTCTTATCCAGGAGCATGGAATGTTTTTCCATTTATTTGTGTCCTCTCTTATTTCCTTGAGCAGTGGTTTGTAGTTCTCTTTGAAGATGTCCTTCACCTCCCTGGTAAGTTGTATTCCTAGGTATGTTATTCTTTTTGTAGCAACTGTGAATGGGAGTTCACTCATGATTTGGCTCTCTGCTTGTCTGTTATTGGTTTGTAGGAATGATTGTGATTTTTGCACATTGATTATGTATCCTGAGACTTCGCTGAAGTTGCTTATCAGCTTAAGGAGATTTTGGGCTGATACAATGGGGTTTTCTAAATATACAGTCATGTCATCTGCAGAGAGAATGTGACGTCCTTTCTTCCTATTTGAATATCATTTATTTCTTTCTCTTGCCTTATTTCCCTGGCCAGAACTTCCAGTACTATGTTGAATTGGAGTTGTGAGAGAGGGCATCCTTTTCTTGTGCTGGTTTTCAAAGGGTATGCTTCCAGTTTTTGCTCATTCAGTAAGATATTGGCTGTTGGTTTGTCATAAATAGCTCTTATTATTTTGAGATAGGGTCCACCAATACCTAATTTATTGAGAGTTTTTAGCATGAAGCGGTGTTGAATTTTGTTGAAGGCCTTTTCTGCATCTATTGAGGTAATCATGTGGTCTTTGTCATTGCTTCTGTTTATGTGATGCATTATGCTTATTGATTTGCCTATGTTGAACCAGACTTGCATCCCAGGGATAAAGCTGACTTGATCATGGTAGATAAGCTTTTTGATGTGCTGCTGTATTCGGTTTGCCAGTATTTTATTGAGGATTTTCGCATTGATGTTCATCAGGGATATTGGCCTGAAATTTTCTTTTTTTGTTGTGTCTCTGCCAGGTTTTGGTATCAGGAAGATGCTGGCCTCATAAAATGAGTTAGGGAGGAGTCTCTCTTTTTCTATTGTTTGGAATAGTTTCAGAAGGAATGGCACCAGCTTCTCTTTGTACCTCTGGTAGAATTCGGCTGTGAATCCGTCTGTTCCTGGACTTTTTATGGTTGGTAGGCTATTACTGCCTGAATTTCAAAACTTGTTATTGGTCTATTCAGGGATTCGACTTCTTCCTGGTTTAGACTTGGGAGGGTGCATGTGTCCAGGAATTTATCCATTTCTACTGGATTTTCTAGTTTATTTGCATAGAGGTGTTTATAGTATTATCTGATAGTAACTTGTATTCCTGTGGGATCAGCGGTGATATCATTTTATCACTTTTTATTGCATCTATTTGATTCTTCTCTCTTATCTTGTTTATTAGTTTGGCTAGCAGTCTATTTATTTTGTTGATCTTTTCAAAACAACAGCTCCTGGATTCACTGATTTTTTTGAAGTTTTTTCCTGTCTCTATCTCCTTCAGTTCTGCTCTGATTTTAGTTATTTCTTGTCTTCTGGTAGCTGTTGAATTTGTTTGCTCTTGCTTCTCTAGTTTTTTAAATTGTAATTTTAGGGTGTCAATTTTAGATCTTTCCTGCTTTCTCTTGTTGGCATTTAGTGCTATAAATTTCCCTCTTAACACTGCTTTAGCTGTGTCCCAGAGATTCTGGTACGTTGTGTCTTTGTTCTCATTGGTTTCTAAGAATATCTTTATTTTTCTGCCTTAATTTCATTACTCACCCAGTAGTCATTCAGGAGCAGTTTGTTCAGTTTCCATGTAGTTTTGTGGTTTTGAGTGAGTTTCTTAATCCTGAGTTCTAATTTGATTGCACTGTGGTCTGAGAGACTGTTATGATTTGCATTCTTTTGTATTTGCTGAGGAGTGTTTTACTTCCAGTTATGTGGTCAATTTTAGAATAAGTGCCATGTGGTGCTGAGAAAAATGTATATTCTGTTGATTTTTGGTTGAGGGTTCTGTAGATGTCTATCAGTTCTGCTTGGTCCAGAGCTGAGTTCAAGTCCTGAATATTCTTGTTAATTTTCTGTCTCGTTGATCTGTCTAATATTGACAGTGGGGTGTGAAAGTCTCTCACTATTGTGTGGGAATCTAAGTCTCTTTGTAGGTCTCTAGGAATTTGCTTTATGAATCTGGGTGCTCCTGTATTGAGTGCATATATATTTAGGAGTTACCTCTTCCTGCTGCATTGATCCCTTTACCATTATGTAATGCCCTTTTTTGTCTTTTTTGATCTTTGTTGGCTTAAAGTCTTTTTTATCAGGGACTGGGATTGCAACCCCTGCCTTTTTTTTTTTTTTTTGCTTTCCATTTGCTTGGTAAATATTCCTCCATCCCTTTATTTTGAGCCTATGTGCATCTTTGCATGAGATGGGTCTCCTGAATACAGCACACCGATGGGTCTTGACTGTTTATCCAATTTGCCAGTCTGTGTCTTTTAATTGGGGTATTTAGCCTGTTTATATTTAAGGTTATTATTGTGTGTGAATTTGATCCTCTCATTATGATGCTAGCTGGTTATTTTGCACATTAGTTGACGCAGTTTCTTCATAGTGTCGATGGCCTTTAGAATTTGGTATGTTTTTGCAGTGGCTGGTACCCGTTGTTCCTTTTTATGTGTAGTGCTTTTTTCAGGAGTTCTTGTAAGGCAGTCCTGGTGGTGACAAAATCTCAGAATTTGCTTCTCTAAATGATTTTATTTCTTCACTTATGAAGCTTAGTTTGGCTGGATATGAAATTCTGAGTTGAAAATTCTTTTTTTACAGAATGTTGAATATTGGCCCCCACTCTCTTCTAGCTTGTAGAGTTTCTGCAGAGAGATTTGCTGTTAGTCTGATGGGCTTCCCTTTGTGGGTAAGTCAAACTTTCTCTCTGGCTGCCCTTAACATTTTTTCCTTCATTTCAACCTTGCTGAATCTGACAATTATGTGTCTTGGAGTTGCCCTTCTCAAAGAGTATCTTTGCGGTGTCCTGTGTATTTCCCCAATTTGAATGTTGGTCTGTCTTGCTAGGTTGGGGGAATTCTCCTGGATAATATCCTGAAGAGTGTTTTCCAAATTGGTTCCATTCTCCACGTCACTTTTAGGGACCCCAATCAATCATAGATTTGGGCTTTTCACATAGTCCCATATTTCTTGGAGGCTTTGTTCGTGCCTTTTCATTCTTTTTTTCTCTAATCTTGTCTTCTCACTTTATTTCATTAAGTTGACCTTCAATCTCTGATATCCTTTCTACTGCTTGAAACAGAATCTGTCTGCAGAAACTCTACAATCAATTCATCTATTGACACCTGTGTATGCTTCATGAAGTTTTCGTGCTGTGTTTTTTTAGCTCCATCAGGTCATTTATGTTCTTCTCTAAACTGGTTATTCTAGTTAGCAATTCCTCTAACCTTTTCTCAAAGTTCTTAGTTTAATTGCATTGTGTTAGAACATGCTCCTTTAGCTTAGAGGAGTTTATTACCCACGTTCTGAAGCCTACTTCTGTCAGTTTGTTAAACTCATTCTCCATCCAGTTTTGTTCCCTTGCTGGCGAGGAGTTGTGATCCTTTGGAGGAGAAGAGGTGTTCTGGTTTTTGGAATTTTCAGCCTTTTGCACTGGTTTTTCCTCATCATCATGGATTTATCTACCTTTGGTCTTTGATGTTGGTGACCTTCGGATGGGGTTTTTGTATGGAAGTCCTTTTTGTTGATGTTGATGCTATTCCTTTCTGTTTGTTAGTTTTCCTTCTAACAGTCATGCCACTCAGCTGCAGGTCTGCTGCAGTTTGCTGGAGGTCCACTCCAGACCCTATTTGCCTGGGTATCACCAGTGGAAGCTGCAGAACCACAAAGATTGCTGCCTGTTTCTTCCTTTGGAAGCTTCATCCCAGAGGGGCACCTGCCAGATGCCAGCTGGAGCTCTCTTGTATGAGGTGTCTGTTAACCCCTGCTGGGAGGTGTCTCCTAGTCAGGAGGCACAGGGGTCAGGGACCCACTTGAGGAGGCCATCTTTCCCTTAGCAGAGCTCGAGCACTGTGCTGGGAGATTTTCTGCTATTTTCAGAGCTGGTAGGTGGGAACGTTTAAGTCTGCTGAAGCTGCACCCACAGATGCCCCTTTCCCCTGGTGCTCTGTCCCAGGGAGTTGGGAGTTTTTTCTATAAACCCCTGACTGGGGCTGCTGCCTTTCTTTCAGAGATGCCCTGCTCAGAGAGGAGGAATCTAGAGAGGCAGTCTGGCTACAGTTTTTGCCGAGCTGTGGTGGGCTCTGCCCAGTTCGAACTTCCTGGCAGCTTTGTTTACACTGACAGCGGAAAACTGCCTAACCAAGCCTCAGTATCAGCAGACGCCTCTACCCCCACGAAGCTGGGGTGGGATCCACTGAGCTACACCACTTGGCTCCCTGGCTTCAGCCCCCTTTCTAGGGGGAGTCAACAGTTCTGTCTCGCTGGTGTTCCAGGCGCCACTGGGGTATGAAAAGAAACTGCAGCTATCTCGGTGTCTGCCCAAACAGCCACCAAATTTTGTGCTTGAAGCCCAGGGCCCTGGTAGCATAGGCACCTGAGGGAATCTCCTGATCTGTGGGTTGCAAAGAGCGTGGGAAAAGCATAGTATCTGGGCTGGACTGCACCATTTTTCATGGCACAGTCCCTCACAGCTTCCCTTGGCTAGGGAAGGGAGTTCCTTGACCCCTTGCGTTTCCTGGGTGAGGCAACACTCCACCCTGCTCAGCTGGCCCTTCGTGAGCTGCACCCACTGTCTAACCAATTCCGATGAGATGAGCTGGGTACCTCAGTTGGAAATGCAGAAATCACCTTCCTTCTGTGATGAGCTCGCTGGGATCTTCAGACCACAGCTGTTATTATTCAGCCATCTTGCCTGCCACCCCCTTAAGCTTTTTATTATTTTCCCATTTCTCAGGTTGTCCACTGAATTTTTTATCTTGTTTCTTGCAGCAATAAAGAGCCACAATGTTGAATTTACCTAATTGTTTGCCACCAACTAATTGTTTTTGACAATTAGTTAGGTGAGAAGCATTTTTGTAGCGATCCAAATTAAGTCAGGTGACTCTGGGGACAGCAAAACTGCCAGTTTACCATGCTGTGATACTGAGTGTTGGGGGATGGGGTGGTGAATGGGAACAGTTGTAAATTAAAATGCCAAGGGCCAGGCCGGGCGCGGTGGCTCATGCCTGTAATCCCAGCACTTTGGGAGGCTGAGGTGGGCGGATCACAAGGTCAGGAGATCGCGACCACCCTCCCCAACATGGTGAAACCCTGTCTCTACTAAAAATACAAAAATTAGCTGGGCGTGGTGGCACCTGCCTGTAATCCCAGCTACTTGGGAGGCTGAGGCAGGAGAATCGCTTGAACCAGGGAGCCGGGGGCTGCAGTGAGCTGAGATCACGCCACTGTACCACAGCCTGGCCACAGAGCAAGACTCTGTCTTGGGCCAGGTGCAGTGGCTCACGCCTGTAATCCCAGCACTTTGGGAGGCCAAGGCGGGAGGATCACGAGGTCAGGAGATCAAGACCATACTGACTAACATGGTGAAAACCTGTCTCTACTAAAAATACAAAACTTAGCCAGGCGTGGTGGCGGGCACCTGTAATCCTAGCTACTCAGGAGGCTGAGGCAGGAGAATCACTTGAACCTGGGAGGCAGAGGTTGCAGTGAGCCGAGATTGCGCCACTGCACTCCAGCCTGGGCGACAGAGCTAGACCCCATCTCAAAAAAAAAAAAAAAATACAAAAGTTAGCCAAGTGTGGTAGCACACACCTGTAGTCCCAGCTACTTGGGGGGCTGAGATGAGAGGATCACCTGAGCCTAGATGTCAAGGCGACGGCGAGCCATGATTGCGCCACTGCACTCCAACCTGGGTGACAGAGTAAGACTCTGTCTCAAACCAAAAATAAAAAGAAAATTTGAGAAAAATAATTCTTGAGGCCTATTTAATCACTTCCTAGAAAAAATTATTGACATCACTCCCAGAGTCCCAGGAGAGCAACACTAAATGCAACTTAGTTAAAAATTTTTCTGTCATAGCCATATACACTATATTCTAAATACACACACATAAGCACATTAGATACATATTCACACACAATAGGTAGAAACACATACAGAGGAAAAAAAATATATATATATATATATCCTATGTCTTTCCTAGACAGCCCTTTCTGACTAAAAAAGTATACTTTTGTGCCAATCAGAGAAAATTTCAGTCACCTAAAAACCTCATAAATGGAGAAAATCTGTTCATAGTAAAACAGCAGTCTGAAGCTCTGTGGGGTAATTATGGCCTCCAGGGCTCTACCAAGTAAAGAAAGCTGTGGCTGTAGCTTTCATACTTGGGAGGCTGAGGCAGGAGAATGGCATGAACCTGGGAGGTGGAGCTTGCAGTGAGTCGAGATGGTGCCACTGCACTCCAGCCTGGATGACAGAGCGAGACTCTGTCTCAAAAAAAAAGAAAAGAAAAGAAAATACTCTGTCTCAAAAATAAATAAATAAATAAATAAAATAAGCAAGACTTACAGTGAAAAAACCATACAGATTGGAAAGGAAGGAAAAATACTGTCTCTATTCACAGATGACATGACTATTTATGTAAAATATTCCCAAAGAATATACAAAAATTTCTATTAAAATTAATGAATTTAGCAAGATTGCAGGATTAAAGGCCAATGTACAAAAATTAGTTGTAAAGGAGGCCAGGCTCTCTCACAAAATCTAATGATACGTGCCACATCCAAGGTTCTGAAGAGCAAACAGACCACAGGTTTACCTCCACTACATCTCATCAGAACAACGCTTGCTGGCATGGGAAGCCAGCCCAGCCACCCCACCCCTGCCTGAGCTCTTGGGCTACTAGCAGCTCTGCATTTCCCTGGGACAGAGCTCCCAGAGGTAAAAGACAGGCCCCTCATTTTTGCCACATTGCAGCTCCCACCCCTACTGCCCTTAGGCTTGGCAGAGAGCAAAATGCTTAAAGACTATTGCAGGCCTCCAGCACAACATAGCTTCCTTACAGAAAAGAAGCCATATGGTTTTCCACATGGGCCCCTGCCTCTGCTACTTGTCACTGGTCAGGATCTCCCAATCTGGGACCCCAGCACAGCCACCCTGGCCCCACCTGAACTCTATCCCAGCATTTCCCTGGGATTGAGCTCCTAGAGGTAAAGGACAGGCCTGCCATTTTTGCTGCTTTGCAGCTCTTACCCCTACTGCCCTCAGGCATAACAGGAAGTAAAGAGCTTAAGAATGATCATGGGCCTCCAGCACAGCACAATTGCCTTATGGAAAGGTAACCAGGCTGCTTTCCATATGAGTCCCTGCCCCTGCCATTCCTCACTGGTCAGGGTGTCTTGACCTGGGCCCCCAGTAAAGCTGCCCTGCCCCTGCCTGAACACTTGTTGGTGGTGGCTGTCTGTTTCTTTGAGGAGAAAATCCCAGAGTCAACCCACAGCCCCTCTACCATTGCAGCTACAGCAGTACCGCCCTTCCTGTCCTCAAGCTGGGAAAGAAACAAAGGACCTGTTCACTTCACTGGCACCTCCAGTATGCTGCAGCTGCCATATGGCGAGGGGTCAAATTTCTCTTCCCTGTGAGCCCCCACCACCTACTTTTCACCAGGAGGGCCCCCCAGCAAGGGACTGCAATGCAACCACTCCACCCTTGGCTGAACATTTCCATTGGCAGTGGCTCTGCATTTCTCTGGGGTGCAACTCCCAGAGGCAACTGAAAGCCCCTCTGCTACTGCCACAGCAGTGGTACTGCCCTTGCTGCCCTTGGATTGGGGAAGGTGTCAAGACCCTGAGGGTTCTACTCATACCTACACCACAATATAGCTGCCCTATGAAGAAGAAGCCAGTCTGTCTTCCACTCAAGCCACACACCCACTGTGTTCATCACCAGGCATGGCCCCCTGGCTTGGACCTGCAACACAGCTGCCCCACACCTGGCTGATTGATCCAGTCAGCAGTGAGTCTGCATTTCTCTGGGTTGGCACCTCAAGAAACAAGTGAACATTTTTCTGCCATTGTCATTGTCAAGGCCCCACCACTGCTGCCCCCAAATGGAAAGGAAACAGAAAGCCTGAGCATGCCCCGTGGCTGTGGTGTGCAGCCTGATGGTGCCAAGGTGAGATCTGAAGCCAGCAATGAAGTGGGATAGGAGCCAACACTCTCAGAGCACTTAGAAGAAGCATGGCTGCAACTGTGAAGGAATACAGGGGAGCTGTGTGGCTGAGCAAGAGCCTACCTACTACCCATCACACTTAAGCACCATCTACAAGGTCGCAGCCCAAACTTCAACACCAAAAATTCTTTCCTAATATATCCGCCCTGCAAAATCAAGGTGAAAAATTCAGTCACAAATAAAGACCCTGAACAAAGCCTTGACTCTCTGAAAACATATAAAAATGTCATCAACTGACTATACCCAAGTTATCCCACATTTATAGAAGCGTAAGCCCTCACAGATGAGGAAGAACCAGCCCAAGAACCTTTGAAACTCTAAAAGCCAGAGTGTCTCCTTACCACCAAATGACTGCACTAGTTTCCCAGCAATAGTACGTAACTAGGCTTAAATGGCTGAAATGACAGACATAAAATTCAGAATCTGGATGGCAATAAAGACCATCAAAATTTGGAGAAAGTTGAAACCCATTCTAAGGAATCTAAGGAATACAGTAAAATAATTCAATACATGAAAGACAAAATAGACATTTTATGAAATGAACCGTACTGACCTGATTGATAGAGCTGAAAAACTTACTACAAAAATTTCATGACACAATGGGGAGAATTAACTGCAGAATAGATCAAGCTGAGGACTCTCAGAGCTCAAAGACCGGTTCTTCAAATTAACTGAGTCAGGCAAAAATAAGAAAAAAAAACTTAAAAAATGAACAAAATCTCCAAGAAATATGGAATTATGTATAGAGACCAAACCTATGACTCTTTGGCATCTCTAAAAGAGAGGGAGAGAGAGCAAGCAAATGGGAAAACATATTTGAGGATATCATCCATGAAAAGTTTCCCAACCTTGCTAGAGAGGTCAACATTCAAATTCAAGAAATTCAGGTGGCCTCTGCAATATACTATACAAGACAACCATCCCCGACACATAGTGATCAAACTCACCAAGGTCAATGCCAAAGAATAAATATTAAAGGCAACTAGAGAGAAGGGGCAGGTCACCTAAAAAGGGAACCTCATCAGGCTAACAGTGAACATTTCAGCAGAAATCCTACATTCTAGAAGAGATTGGGGACCTATATTGAGCATCCTTCAAGAAAAGAAATCCGGGCCGGGCATGGTGGCTCAAGCCTGTAATCCCAGCACTTTGGGAGGCCGAGGTGGGCAGATCACGAGGTCAGGAGATCGAGACCAGCCTGGCTAACACAGTGAAACCCCGTCTCTACTAAAAAAATACAAAAAAATTAGCTGGGCATGGTGGCAGGCGCCTGTAGTCCCAGCTACTCGGGAGGCTGAGGCAGGAGAATGGTGTGAACCCAGGAGGCAGAGGTTGCAGTGAGCCAAGATCAGGCCACTGCACTCCAGCCTGGGCGACAGAGCAAGACTCCGTCTCAAAAAAAAAAAAAAAAAGAAAAGAAAAGAAATCCAACTAAGAATTTCATATCCAGCCAAACTAAGCTTTTTAAGCAAAGGAGAAATAAAATCCTTCCCAGCCAAGCAAACGCTAAGGGAATTTGTGATCAACAGGCCTGCCTTACAAAAGGTCCTTAATGTAGTGCTAAACATAGAAAGAAAAGACCATTACTAACCACCACCAAAACACACTCAAGTGCATAGACCATCAACACTATAAACCAAATACACAATCAAGTCTACCTAACAGCCAGCTAACAACATAATGACAGGATCGAATCTACACATTATCAATATTGACCTTGAACATAAATGGGTTAAACATCCGCACTTAAAAGGCACAGAGTGGAAAGTTAGATAAAGAAGCAAGACCCAACTGTATGCTGTATTCAAGATACCCATCTTACACAAAAGGATATTTATAGGCTGAAAGTAAGGGGATGAGAAAGGTCTATCAGGCAAATGGAAAACAAAAAAGGGCAGAGGTTGCTGTTCTTATATCAGGCAAAACTGACATTAAATGAACAATGATCAAAAAGGACAAAGAAGGGCATTACATAATTATAAAAAGTTCAATTCAACAAGAAGATGTAACTAAATATATATGCACCCAACACTGCAGCATCCAGATTGATTAAACAAGTTCTTAGAGACTTACAAAGAGACTTAGATAACCACTTAATAATAGTGGGATACTTCAACACCCCATTGACAATAGTGGACAGATCATCAAGGGACAATACTAACAAGGATATTCCAGACCTAAATTTGATGCTTGATCAAATGGACCTAACAGACATCTACAGAACACTGCACCCAACAAAATTAGAATATACATTCTTTTCATCTGTACATGGCACATACTCTAAAATTGACCACTTGCTCAGCCATAAGGCAATTGCTAAGAAATTTTTTTAAAAAGCCGAAATCATATCAACCATACTGTTAGACCACAGTGCAATAAAAATAGAAATCAAAACCAAGAAGTTCTTTCAAACCATACAATTACATGGAAATTAAGCAGTATGCTCCTGAATGACTTTTGGGTAAACAATGAAATGAAGGCAGGAATCAAGACATTTTTGAAGCTAATGACAACAAAGATACAACATACCATAATCTCTGGGACCAAGCTAAAGCAGTGTTAAGAGGAAAGTTTATAGTGCTAAACACCCACATCAAAAGGTTAGAAAGATCTCAAAATAACAACCTAACATCACACCTAGAGGAACTAGAAAAATAAAAACAAACCAATCCCAAAGCTAGAAGAAGACATGGAATAACCAAAATCAGAGCTGAGCTGAATGAAATAGAGATGAGAAAAACCACACACACAAAAAATCAATGAACTAAACCTTGGTTCTTTAAAAGACTAAATAAGATTGGTAGACTACTAGCTAAACTAATAAAGAAAAAAAGATGATAAAGATAAATGAAAAACGGGACATTACCACTGACTCCACAGAAATACAAAAATCCCTCAGAGATTATTACAACACCTCTCCACATATGAACTAGAAAACCTAGAAGAAATGGATAAATTCTCAGACACATACAACATCCCAACATTGAACGAGGAAGAAATTGAAATCATGACCAGACAAATAATGAGTTCTGAAATTGAATCAGAAATAAAAAGTCTACCAACCAGAAGATGCCCTAGACCAGACTGATTCACAGGTGAATTCTTCCAGATGTATAAATAAGAGCTGGTGCTGATCTTACTGAAAATATTTCAAAAAATTGAGGAGAAGGGACTCCTCCTTAACATATTCCATGAGACTAGTATCATTCTGATACCAAAAGTTGGCAGAGAACAGTGAAAAAAAAATTCATACCAATACCCCTGATGAACACAGATGCAAAATCTATTAACAAAATGCAAACAAACCAAATCCAGCAGCACATCAAAAAGCTAATCCACTATGCTCAAGTCAAATCTATTCCTGCAATGCAAGATTGGTTCAACATATGCAAGTCAATAATTGTGATTTGTCACATAAACAACTAACAACAAAAACCACATGATCATCTCAAAAGATGCAGAAAAGCGTTTTGATAAAATTCAACATCACTTCATGTTAAAAACCTTCAACAAACTATGCATCAAAAGTACATACCTCAAAATAATAAGAGCCATCTCTATGATAAACCCACAGCCAACATCATACTAAATGGGCAAAAGCTGGAAGCATTCCCATTGAGAACCAGAACAAGATAAGGATGCCCACTCTCACCACTCCTATTTAACATAATACTGGAAGTCCTAGCCAGAGCGATCAGGCAAAAGAAAGAAATAAAAGGCATCCAAATGGGAAGTGAGAAAGTAAAACTATCTCCCTTCACAGATGATATGATACCATACCTGCAAAACCCCATAGTCTCTGCCCAAAGCCTCCCAGATATGATAAGCAATTTCAGCAAAGTTTCAGGATACAAAATCAATGTGCAAAAATCAGTAGTGCTTTAGACACCCATAATGTCTAAGCTGAGAGCCAAATCTAGAATGCAATCCTGCTCACAATCTCCACAAAAATAAAATACCTAGGAAGACAGCTAAAAAGGGAGGCAAAAAATCTCTACAAGAATTACCAAACAGTACTGAAGGAAATCAAAGACACAAAAACATGGAAAAACATTCCATGCTCACAGATAGGAAAAAATCAATGTTGTTAAAATGTTCATACTGCATAAAGCAATTTACAGATTCAATACTATTCATATCAAACTACCAATGATATTTATCAAAGAATTATAAAAATACATTCTAAAATTCATTTGGAACCAAAAATGAGCTCAACTAGCAAAACCAATTCTACTCTGATTTGTATGGGTGTCGATCTCTGTGTTTATCTTCCTTGCAGTTCGTTGATCCTATTAGATGTATGTAGACGAATGTTTTCACCGAATTTGGGAGGATTTCAGCCATTATTTAAATTAAATAGTTTTTCTGCTCATTTTCTTCTTTCTGGTAGTTCCATTATGTATACGTTAGTGCACTTAATGGTGGCCCATCTTTCTTTGAGTTTCTTTTCATTTTTGTTTATGTTTTTCACTCTGCTCTGCAGATTGCATAATCTCTATTAATCTATTTCCAAGTTCACTGATTCTTTCTTCTGGCAAATCAAATCTACTCTTGAGTTGCTCTTGCTCCTCACCCACTGTTGGAACATACATATCTTGAAGAACTCCCCATTTCCCAATGGCCCTCTGAGGCATGCTGCCCTCTTCTCTCAAATATCTGTAAGTAATAAAAACTGCTTCTTATTTCATATATCCTTTTTTTTTGTGCTGCCTCTTCTGTGTCTCACCTGACCATCACACCTGAATCTAATTCTCCTCCTAGTTAGAGCTTTCCTAGAGAGTGGCTATCTTGGTAGGAATAAACTGGACACAGATCAGAGAAGAGCCACAAGGGCATCTTCCAGTATAAACATGTTTCTTATCAGAAGGACACCTGATCATGGTCAAGTGGGTTGGACACTTAGGCATTAGGCTGTCCTCCAGGATAAAGAGGTATCCCATAAAAGGTACATTGTAAACATCCAGGACAACCTCCCCTGGAGTCTTGTCAGCGCAGAGCAAGGATTTGTGGCCACTCTCCAGAGAGAGACCCCAAGACCAAATTTTATATATATATGTGTGTGTGTGTGTGTGTGTGTGTGTGTATGTGTGTGTATATATATATACGTGTATATATATAGCAATTGATGCATCAAGCAGAGTGGTCATGACCATGAGGGATACAACAAAATGCCTTTAGACTGCTTTTGGCCTGTTAGCTGGCCCTCTCACCTGGCTAACACCATTTGAGAAGGCTCCATGGCTTGCTGATGTGTGTCTGTGCTGCTGCATCCTACTGCTTATTGTCTTTATTAAGTACCGCCAAAACTCCCCTCCCTAAATTGAGTGCGTCCTAGAAAGTTGGAGTTCTCTCCAAGAACCAACAATCACCTGCCTTAGTACAGCAAGAGAGGCAACCATGATCGCTATCACTCTCCTGAATGGGAACTACTAGTCACAGTTAAGTTGACTGTATTCTGAAGGCCTTGCCCAGATTCGAATGGCTTATTACTGAGAGGTTAAAGGGAGTAACCTGTGCTAAGGGGCTGTCAGGAAGATACTGGGCCAGTGTAAGCCTTAGCAGATGGCAAGAGGAAGATATACTCTGACTACCCACTGAATTGGTGAGGCAGTATCTGGGGCTAGACTTTCCAGTATGACAAGAGGGGTGCCTACTTCACTGGGGAGATGACAGCATCTCACTGGCAGCAGTGGCACTGTGATCTACAATCGATATGTTTCTGTCTTCTCTTCCTTCTGTCACTCTTGATCCCCTTACCCTATGTGTTACCCTATTGGTTTAACCCCATTGTGTGTGATGACAAAGAACTTAATGATTCAAATTAAAAGGCCAGAACATTTCTTTGCCAACTCTCCCATGATCTCTGAGGAGGTTAGCAAACTATTAAAGAAATAGGGCTTGGGGCCTTGCCAAGTGATCCTGCCACTGTTGCACTAGTGGAGGCTGATCCAAATCCAGATGATGTTGATCGGGATGCCTTGGAGAGCAAGGCAGCTACCTACAACAGGACCAATGAAAACCACAAATGGAGGCCACTGGTCACAACAGGAGCCACTTGGAACCACCAGGAGCTTGTTAGGCAAACATCCAAAAAGAGAGAGAAAAGAGAATGTTTTTAGTCACCTAGAAATACAAGCCATTCTAAAGATTTTACTTAAAAGAAAAGAATGGTGGAGGCTCATTGTCCTGTTGTGGGAGGTTGTCCCAGGGAAAGGGACCTGGAGACACCAGGTCCCTTCCTCCTCCCTGTATTCCTCTAATAAACCAGATACAGAAACTATGAACCACAGTGTCAGGAGGCTAAAAACCTAAAACAAAACAAAACACAATAAGGAAAAAATACTGCTGCTTTCAGTGGCTTCAAGTTGAAGGAAAAAAACAAAGAGGAACTTCAACTTTAAGAATTGAGGAAAATCAGCTCTAGCAAGCAAAATACTAGCCCTAGATTACTTATCGATTTATAAATAAACCCCTAATAAAAGGGGATAAAAGATACATAATAAATTATATATACATATATTTTGATATCAATGTATGATAAATTGTGTATATGTGTATATATGATATGTAACTAAAAGCAAAATTCCACACCTTGATTCAATTAAAAATTCAAAATTTATATAACAAAAAGGTTTAGGCAAGGCATGGTGGCTTACACCTGTAATCCCAGCACATTGGGAGGCCAAGGTGGGAGGATTGAAGCCAGCCTGAGCAACATAAGCAAGATCTCATCTCTACAAAAAATTTAAAAATTAGCTGGGAGTGGTGGCCCGTGCCTGTAGTCCCAGCTATTTGGGAGGCTGACACGGGAGGATTGCTTGAGTCCAGGAGTCTGAGGCTGCAGTGAGTTAGGATCATGCCACTGCACTCCAGCCTGGGTAACAGAGTGAGACCCTGTCTAAAAAAAAAAATGTTTAAAAAGGGTGCTGATTGGTTTTTGTGCCTCTACAACATAGATTATAACTTAACTTTAACAACTGGTAGAATGGACCAAAATTGAAAAAAATCTATGGATTTAATCAATACTAGGGCTCAAATTATACCTGGGCACCTCAATAAATTTAAACATTGTGCCCCCTATATTCTTAAAATGGTAACTAAATATAATAGAGAAAAATAGATATGCCTTAATTTGTTGCCTTGCCTAAATTTCTCATAGTCATAGTACCCAATGCTGTAACATATACCATATTGGAATTAAATGCTCTGACACAACAAATAATGAATTAAAGTCAAAGCAAATCTTTGGCTGTTAAAAACTGGCTTGATGGAATGGGATTCCATGAACACCCAGTTAAAAGACTTCATATGGCCCAATGTAAGCTAAAATGAGGGCTGCAAAGCTTAAAACTTATTACATGAAACCCAACTAATAAAGAAGTGATTATTCTCAATGCTTCTCCATTTAGCAGACCATTTTGACATTTGATTGCTCTTAAATCTGAAATAAATAAATTTAAAAAGGGGTTCTCAAGATGGCTTACTACCACCTTAATGATGTGGTCCCAATCATCAAGGCTCCCTACCCAATATGTGAAATTATTAATATTAATGATTCTATTCTGTCAACAATCAGTAAATATTTTGTTCTTATAGATTGGCTAATATGTTCTGTTTAATGCCTGTTTCAACAGTCTCTCAGCTGCAGTTTGCTTCCACCTCCGAAAGGGACACAATACACCTTTTCTAGGTTACTGATGGGGTACCACAATAGCTTTTTTTTTTTTTTTTTTTGAGACAGGGTCTCACTCTGTTGCCCAGGCTGGAGTGTGATGGTGCGATCTCAGCTCACTGCAACCTCCGCTTCCTGCGTTGAAGCGATTCTCATGTCTCAGCCTCTGAGTAGCCGGGATTACAGGTGTGTGCCACCACACCCAGCTAATTTTTGTATTTTTAGTAGAGATGGGGTTTCACCATGTTGGCCAGGCTGGTCTCGAACCCCTGACCTCAGATGATCCACCCGTCTTGGCCTCCCAAAATGCTGGGATTACAGGCGTGAGCCACCGCGCCCAGCCCACAATAGCTTTTTTATCACATGCAATCTTTGGAGATAAGACCCTGATGGCATGTATCTTTCTCCAGGAATAAAGGTCTGATATTACATGAATGACATCCTCTTTCAAGGAGATTCATGTGACACACTCACTAAGTACATATAAGTCCAGTATGTTTTTTACTTATAAATTAAAATTGACCATCACTCCTATTAGTGCTTTCAAAAAACCTCATTCACGACAACTTTTTCACGCCTTCTGGAGTCTGTGGATCACTCCTGATGGCCATTAGTTGCTCCAGGGCTTCTAATGCAACATATTGCCCCTCTTGGCCTTGTGCTATGCACCATTAAAACAACAAATACCTGCCTACATACTGGGCACATTTGGAAATAGAAGATCTCATAGACCTTGAGCCTGTGACCCTCCATACCCAGCTGCTCATTATGCTTTGGGTCATGGAAGCAGCACGCCACAAGCTCAGCCTGGCTATGAAGGAAGACCTCGTTAAAACAGGGTGGAGCCAAACTTGGGTGGAGCCCATCTTAGGATAGGGCCCAAGAAACAACACACTTAGCCAAACCTCAGGCAGTCATCTTAGCATTGGATGCCCTGATCAACAAATGGTCCTGACCAGGAATAGCTCACACCTGTAATCCAAGTGCTTTGGGGGACAGAGGTGAAAGGATCACTTGAGGCCAAGAATTCAAGAGAAGTCTGGGCAACATAGTGAGACCCTGTCTCTACAAAAATAATAAAAATAAAAAAAATTAGCCAGGCATGGTGCTGCATACCAGTAGTCCTAGCTACTCAGGAGACTGAGACAGAGATCACTTGAGCCCAGGAGTTCGAGGTTACAATGAGCTATGATCATGCCATTGTACTCCAGCCTGGGCAACAGAGGGAGACTCTGTCTCAAAAAAAAAAAAAATTAAAAACAGAATTACTATATGATCCAGTAATTCCACTTCTCAGTATATATTCCAAGGAAGTGAAGGCAGGGACTCAAGCAGATATTTGCACACCCATGTTCATAGCAGCATTATTCACAATACACAAAAGATGGTGGCAACCCAGTGTACATTAATTGATTAATAAATAAACAAGATGTTGTATATAAATACAATGGAATATTATTCAGCCTTAAAGAGGGAGAAAATTTTGACACATGGATGAAACTTGAGGACATTAGGCTAAGTGAAATATATCAATAATAAAAAGATAAATACTGTATACAGTTATATGAGGTACCTAGAGTAAATTCATAGAAACAAAAAGTAGAGGGGTGGTTTCTAGAGGCTGAAAGGAGGGAGAAATGGGAGTCTTGTTTAATGAGTATAGTGTTTCAATTTTGCAAAAGATTGGTTGTACCACAATGAAAATGTACTTACAACTACTGAACTGGAAACTTAAAAATGGTTTTAAGATAGTAAGTTTTATATTATGTATATTTTACCACAATTTAAAAAACCTAATTAATAAAGAGGTGATTATCTCCACTGCTTCTTGATTTGATAGCCAAATTTTCTTGTTCTTAACAAGAAAATTAAAAATATATTTATTTGGCATAGATACATAGATACAAAAATACACCTGATGGCATCTCAGGATGGATTATTACAACCTGTGGTCTCATCCATTAAGGCCCCCATACGAAATACCCAATATTACGAAAATTACTGACTCTATCCAATCAACAACTGATAAATATTTTGCTATTACGTATTTGGCTAATATGTTCTGTTCAGTGCCTATTTCAACAGCATCTCACCACAGTTTGCCTTCATCTCCAAAGGAACACAATACTCTTCTTCAGGCTACCCATGGGGTACCTAAACAGCTTTGCCATTGCACACAATCTTTGCAGATGAGAGCCTAACTACTTTCACCTTTTACCAGGATCACAGGTATAACATCATCCTCCAAGGAGATTCATTTGATACATTCATTTAGAATCTACAAGTCCAACATCTTTTAATCCTTTTTGAGTTCTGATGGCAACGCATTCCTCATTTACAAATAGAAATAGGCTGCTCCACAAGGGAAGTGTCTGAGTTAGTTTTGTAGGATCTTTCTACAGGGAAGGGTTACATCAGGGCATGTATAGGAGAGGTTTTTCTAGTGTTTGTGCAGTGGCTCAACATGCTTCTTCATACATTGTATGTAGCATTAGCATTTTAAATCACCCTTGGGCATGATTTTTCGCATTAAAAATGAGGAAGAGTTAACTATAGGTTGGAATTTAAGTATATCTGCACATGCAGGTACTCCAGGGAAGTCTCTAGCCCCCTGAAACAGAAACTTGCGATAATTATTTCTTGGGTCTTTTGTTACTGACTGGTTGAGGGTCACATAAGCTAGATCTTGAGTGAGAGGTTTTTATCCTTTTTCTCCAGACCATATTAAAACAGGAAACCAACCAGCCTGCCTGTCTCAAGAAGGAAGGTACCAGGCTCTTTTTAACAACGAGCTCTGGTGGGAAATAATCGAACAAGAACTTACTCACACCCAAGGGAGATAACCCACACACCACCCACTAAGCCTCACCTCTAACATTGAGGATCAAATTTCACCATGCGATTAGGATGGGACAAACTTCCGAACTATAGCAGTCTCATATATAATGTGTTTTTAAGTACATGGAGGTTACATATATACGAAATCTAGGAGAGGTTACTACTATCTGTACCTCTCTAAAAATTAATGGAGATCATTATTTTCCCCAGAAGGACCTGTCACGTATCAGTCAACTCCTTGACTCCCTAGAGAGGGGACCACTCACTCTACTGTGCCCTCTCCTTCTCCACCTCCAGCGTTACATCCTGCCCTTCTTCTCCAATCACTACCACAGCAATCACCCTTTCCCCTTGGTCACACAAAAATACCACTAATATCTACATATACTTTACTAACTTATCAGTTCGTAACCTGCCTGCAGCAACATAACTGTTTGACTCTTCACTTTGACTCAAGAAATACACCAAGATATTACTGTTTATATATACGTATATATGTGTGTGTGTATCTATATCTGTCATACACACATTTATATGTGTATATGTGATATATATCCACATACGTATGTATATATAAATATATATATATCATACATATATATAAACTTTAACACACTTTACAACTCCAACAAGATATTGTTAGAGATCTCAGAAATTTCAGATCTACTTTTTTTGGTTAATGCCATATAAATGAGAAACTTAATCATGGTCCAGCCTATAAAGACTCTTATATTTAATACTTCTACTTGCATTCCTTTCTTTTGATTCCCATTATAAAATGTTTTCTAGGCCATTTGGGAAAACATATGTCCTAATGTATAGTCTCTATCATCATCCCAATATGTTTTTAATATGATATCAAAGTATCACAGGGCCAATTGTATTCAATTGTATTAACCATGTCTTTAATTTTCTATATTCTGATGCTTTGACATCTTGAGGCAGTGCTGACCTTGGAAGGATTGCTCCTCCCAGGATTAGCCAATTTCTAGAGACAGTAAACAACTGGATTATGAAAGTGTCTTTCATATGCAAACCAACCACTCCAGAGTCCATATCCTCCATCACCTCCTTTATTGGCTTCTCAGGCACAGGACCACTATTTACCTGCCCAAATCACCCCCGGGTCGGGTATCAGACAACTAGGAAAAGCCCCTAAGCTGTAGAGCCTGCTAAAATTATTCAAACTAGCTAATTCTAAACCTGCTTACTTTAACTTGCCTATTCCTTCCCTCAGAAACCACAATAAAGGCTCTCGCCCACATTCTTCCCTCACCCTCTGCCTCCTGACTGACACTGGTGCTTTCCTGGGTGAACCCTGACGGTGTGGCATGCCTCTTCTTGTGATCTGTGAGTATAACAGTCTTTTCAATGGCAGAGATTTCCTGATTTGTTGGTCTTACCTACTTAAATAATAATAAAAGCCATATTTTAAAACACTACCCCAAACAGACAAAAGCTCTGTGGGGTAATTTATTTGGGAACTGATCCCAAGAGTAGAAATGAAGTATATAGGAGTATTTTAAAAAGGAAGGAAAGCCAGTACAAGGAATAATTCCAAATTTTAGTTACCATGCAACTGATAACAGGTATATGATCTTGGGGACCTTCTGAGTTGCATTATGAAATATATCTCAGAACTGTCTAGTTGAAGGACATAAGAGGGAAGGATTTAGCCAACACCTCCCATTCCCTTATTAGTCAAGATAATCCCATGTAACCTAATTCTGCCACACATCCTATTTGCACATGTCTGACTGCCCACTGGTCTGTAATTTGCCCAGTGATTTGGCATCAGAGAAGCCCCTGTGCAAGAAGCAAGATATACACTGCACTGGGCCAGTGCAAGGCCTTGTCAGATTATGCTTGCATAGAACTGGTCACCACAGCAGTGACTCGATTAAGAGAAGACATGATTTGACATGCACACAAGCTGTACCCAAAGCACCTTACAGGTACTTGTTTTGCATTTTGTTAATATATCTCTTAAGCCTCTTTAACTCTCTAAGTTCCCCCTCGTTCTCTTATTTTTTTTATTCTTTGCAAATTATTTGTTGAAGAAATATAGTCAATTATTGTTTAGACTTTTCCAGAGTCTGGATTTTGCTGATTGAGTTTCAATGATGTCATTTAACATGTTCCCCTGGCTCTATGTTTCTTACAAAATATAAGCTAGGCAGGGTGACACACACCTGTAGTCCAAGCTACTCAGGATGCAAAGGCAAAAAAATTTCTTTAGACCAGGAGTTCAAGGCTGCAGTATGCTATGATCACACCTGTGAACAGTCACTGTGCTCCAGCCTGGGAAACACAATGAGACCCCACCCATAAAAAAAATTTAAAAGTACAGATGCTTTGTTTAACTTGAGGTACAGTTTGTATAGGAGGTCAAAATAAATGCTTCTCTCTTTACCTTTTTGAAAATCAGCTTTCCAAACAATTGTTCTCTATCATCTTCCAAAGGACATTTATTAATTTGCGAGGGCTGTCATAACAAAGTACCACAGACTGGGTAGCTTTAAACAACAGAAATTTATTTTCTCACAGTTATGGAGGCTAGAAGGCTGAAGTCAAGTTGTCAGCAGAGTTAGTTCCTCCTGAGGGGCCACCAGGGAAGAATTTTCAGGTTTAGAGATGGCCATCTTCACCCTGTGCCTTCACACTGTCTTCACTCTGTTCCTCAAAACTCTACCAGCACCTACATATTACTCAATTCAAAAGGCACTTCTATATTTTTAAAGCAGCACCCCACATTTCAGCACCAAAATCTTATATAAATGTCATCTAAATCAGATATGAGTGACTTGAGGTATGATTCAACCTGAGGCAAAATTCCTCTCCATCTGAAAACCTGTAAAACCAGACAGGTTATCTGCTTTAAAAATACAATAGTAGAACAGACATAGGATAGAAATTCCTATTTCAAGGAGAAAAAATGAGAAAAAAAAGGATCATGGATTGCAAGTAAATTCAAATCAGAACAGGGAAAATTCCATTAGATTTTAAGGCTCAAGAATAAATTTCTTTGGCTCAGTGTTCTGTCCTCTGAGCCCACCCAGGTGGTGGCCAAGCCTTCTCAGCTCTGGAAAGCAGCCCTACTCACCTCAGCCCTAGAAAACAGACCCACACCCTCTGGCACTCACAAGCAGATGCCTGGCTAGATGAAATCTGGAGGATATAGCCACATTCCCTAGGCCTATGCCTCTGGGCCCAAGGGAGAAGTAAGCCCTGCTGACCTCTGATCTACCTTTGGGTTATTCTTCTCTTTTCTTGAAGGATAAGACATGTTTACAGCTGGATAGCGCTATTGGCCCATTTTGTAGAATTCCAGAAGTCCAACAGCCTTCCTTCATTTTATCCCGTCTCTGTCCCCTTCAGTCCAAGCTAGCAGCATTTCTGCTGGTACAAAATTCTCAAAACCCTTTTGGGCCTCCTGTGCAATTCAAAGGGGGTACAAAATCAGATGAGAGTCGTTGACATATATTTCCTAGACAACTGCCTGTCTATTCCTGGATTCTGCTGAGCTGTTCATTGGATCTATGAATTGCACATGTAATATCTTTAGTAAATTGTTTTCCAGCCATATCCTTGATGTTCTCTCCAGAACACATTTTCTAAGTTTTGCAATATGAATAGGATGAGAATTTCCCAAATCTTCAAGTCTGGTTCCTTTTTACTTAACAATTCATTCCTCAAATTAATTCTCTTCTCTCACATTTTACTATAAAGCAGCAAAAAGAAGCCAGGTCAGGTCTTTGACACTTGGCTTAGAAATCTCCTCAGCTAAATATCCATTCATCACTTACAAATTCTACTTTCCACCAAACACTAGAACACAATTTGTCCAAGTTCTTTGCTACTTTATAACAAGAATAACCTTTCCTCCCGTTTCCAATAACATGTTCCTCATTTCTGTTTGAGACCGCACCAGAAGAACCTTAAACATTCATATTTTTACCATATGATGTTCATGATGATATATATATTCCATAAGATGACAGAAGCTTTCTGTCTTTACAGCTCTTCTCTTTTCTTTCTGAGCCTTCACCAAAATCATTTTAATGTTCATATTTCTACCAATAGTCACTTCAAAGGAATCAAGGCTTCTACTAACATGCTTCTCATTTTATTTTAATTACCTTTTCAAAAATCCTAACTTTAATTATTGTCACATTCAGGTTTTGAGGGTTAGGACTTCAACATTTGGACTCTTTTTTGGAGACAGAGTTTCAGTATGTTGCTCAGGCTAGTGTGTAGTGGCTATTCACAGGCATGATTATAACTCACTACAGCCTTGAACCTCTGGACTTTATCCTCCTGCTTCAGCCTTTTGAGTAGCTGGGACTATAGGCATGTACCACTGAGCCAAACTTCAACATGTGAATGTTTTTGGGAGACACAATTCAACCAACAGGAACATTACTTTTTTTGCAAATATCAATATGAAATCTCTGTGTGAGACATATTTTATGCTTACAGTTCATTGCAGTTATGATTTTTATTGATGCTCAGATTGTCCCATATTTGGCCTGTGAGATTTTCATCAAATTGACTTCTGAGTCTCTTTGACATGACCCAATGGTCTTTGATATATATATATATATATTTTTTTTTTGAGATGGAGTCTTAACTCTGTCGCCAGGCTGGAGTGCAGTGGTGCAATCTCAGCTCACTACAACCTCCGCCTCCTGAGTTCAAGCGATTCTCCTGCCCCAGCCTCCCGAGTAGCTAGGATTACAGGTACTTGCCACCATGCCCGGCTAATTTTTGTACTTTTAGTAGAGATGGGGTTTCTCCATGTTGGCCAGGCTGGTCTCGAACTCCTGACCTCAAGTGATCTGCCTGCCTTGGCCTCCCAGAGTGCTGGGATTACAGGCATGAGCCACCACGCCCCGCCTGACACTTTCCTTGTATTATAAAAAAAAAAAAAACTTGTGGGGGGAGATTTCCTTTCCTTTTCTCCGAAAGGGGAAGAAATTGAAACTGAGTGGCCCATGATGGAAAGAGGGGAAGTCCAGGGGTGCAGAAGGCCCCTGGGTGAAGGCAGAGGCTAACATGGGGTTCGTAGCTATGGGTGGCCATCAGCCTGACCAACTTTGTGCTGTCTGTCATCACTATCATCATCTGCTTCACCTGCTCCTGCTGCTGCCTGTACAAGATGTGCCGCCGAACACGTCCGGTTGTCACCAGCATCACGTTCACCACTGTGGTGCACGCCCCTTACACTCAGCCTCCAAGTGTGCCGCCCAGCTACCCTGGATCGAGCTACCAGGGCTACTACCCCATGCTCCCCCAGCCAGGGATGACAGCAGCACCCTACCCAACACAGTACCCACCACCTTACTCGGCCCAGCCCATGGGCCCGCCGGCCTACCAGGAGACGCTGGCTGGAGGAGCAACCGCGCCATACCCCACGAGCCAGCCTCCTTACAACCCGGCCTACATATATGCCCCGAAGGCGGCTCCCGGAGCGTGCCCCGGCCTCTCCGGCTGCCACTAGATTATGTTGTGTGTGTGTGTGAGTGGTGTGCAAGCACGGTTCCTTACGCCCCGTGCGTGCTGTGTGTGTCCTGCCTGTATATGTGGCTTCCTTTGATGCTGACGAGGTGGGGAACGTTCCTTGCCAGAGTGGGCTGGGACCAGACTTTCTTCTCTTCCTCACCTGAAATTATGCTTCCTAAAATCTCAAGCCAAACTCAAAGAATGGGGTGGGGAGCACCCTGTGAGGTGGCCCCTGAGAGGTGGGGGGCTCTCCATGGCACATCTGGAGTTCTTTTCCAGCTTACCCTAGGGTGACCAAGTGTGGCCTGTCACACCAGGATGGTGCAGCTTTCTGTGAGTATGATACAGATGTGTCCTGGTTTTGGCAACGTAGCCAGCTGCTGCTCAGGGGCATGGTTTGTCCCCAGAGTTGGGGGTACCCTTTGCAGAGCCAGAGACATGATGCAGGTGAAGCTTGGGATCTGACCAAGTTGGGCTTTGATCCTTTGGGCAGATGTCCCATTGCTTCCTGGAGCCTGTGTCATGCCGACTGGGGATCAGGCAGCCTCCTGATGCCAGAACACCTCAGGCAGAGCCCTGCTTACCTGATAGCTGTCTACCTGGACTGTTCCTGTCCCTACATCCTCCCTAGGACCACCTGGAGGGCCACACACACAGCCTAGCTACCCACAGGGAGCTCTCCTGCCCTTGCTGGCCCTGCCCTTCCCACAGGTGAACAGGGCGCTCTGTCCACCAGCACACTCAGGTCTCTTCCCTGCAGTGTTTTCATTTTATTTTAACCAAACATTTTGCCTGTTTTCTGTTTTAAAATGTGATAGTTGATGTGAGACTGAAACCCCTGGGTTGTGGAGGGAAATTGGCCAGGAGAAGAGGGAAAACCTGGCAACTGTGAGTCCCTGCTTCCCCTGACACCAGCCTCATGGAATATGCAACTCCTGTACCCCAGTCCAGTGTGTTCTGGCAGCAGGGACACCTGGGCCAAGGGGCCATCTGGACCAAAGGTGGGGTGTGGGGTCCTGGATGGCAGACATGAATACCTCGGTATTCCCTGTCTCTCAGTTATTGTTTCACCAGAGCTGTCTCAGCTTCGTATCTGTTGTGTTTCTGAGAGTCTAGAGTCTGCACCCTTGTTTATAATAAATGCAATAGTTTGGAAAAAAATTGTGGGCACATAGTAGAGGTATGTATTTATTGGGTACATGAGATGTGATACAGGCATACAATGTGAAATAAGCACATAATGAAGAATGAAATATCCATCCCCTCAAGCATTTATCCTTTGAGTTACAAACAATCCAATCACACTCTTTAAGTTGTTTTAAAATGTACAATTAAGTTATTATTGACTATAGTCACCCTGTTGTGCTATCAAATAGTAGTTCTTATTCATTCTTTCTGATTATTACTTGTACCCATAGAACATCCCCACTGCCCCCACATGCCCCCACTACCCTTCCCAGCCTCTGATAACCATTCCTCTACTCTTTATCTCCATGAGTTCAATTGTTTTGATTTTTAGATCCCACAAGTAAATGAGAACATGAAATGTTTGTTTTTCTGTGCCTGGCTTATTTCACTTAATGTAATGATCTACAGTTCCATCCATGTTGTTGCAAATGACTGGATCTCATTCTTTTTTATGGCTGAATAGTACTCCATTGTGTATATGTACCACACGTTCTTTACCCATTCATCTGTTGATGAACACTTACGTTGCTTCCAAATCTTAGCTCTTGTAAACACTGCTGCAACAAACATAGGCACACAGATATCTCTTTGATATACTGATTTTCTTTCTTTTGGGTATATACCAAGCACTGGGATTTCTGGATCATATAGTAGTTCAATATTTTTTGTCTTCTTAGGAACCTGAAAACTGTTCTCCATAGAGGTTGTACTAATTTACATTCCCACCAAACAGTGTACACATCCTAGCCAGCATTTGTTATTACTTGACTTTTGCATATAAGCCATTTTAACTGGGTGAGATGATCTCATTGTAGTTTTGATTTGCATTTCTCTAATGATCAATGATGTTGAGCACATTTTCATATGCCTCTTTGCAATACGTATGTCTTCTCTTGAGAAATGCCTATTCAAATATTTTGCCCATTTTTGACTGGAATTACTAGATTTTCTCCAGTAGAGTTCTTTGAGCTCCTTATAAATCCTGGTTATGAATCCCTTGTCAGATGGGTAGTTTGCAAATATTTTCTCCCATTCTTTGGGGTGTCTATTCACTTGGTTGATAGTATCTTTTGCTGTGTAGAAGCTTTTAAACTTGACGTAATCCCATTTGTCCATTTTTGCTTTGGTTGCTTGTGCTTGTGGAGTAAAGACTGTGTTTTCCCGAGTGCATATTCTTGGCACCTTTGTCACAAATGGGTTCACTGTTTGTGTGTGGATTTGTTTCTGGGTTGTCTGTACTGTTCCATTGGTCTGTGTGTCTGCTTTTATGCCAGTACCATGCTGTTTTGGTTACAACAGCTCTGTAGTATTATTTAAAGTCAGGTAATGTGATTCCTCCAGTTTTGTTCTTTTTGCTTAGGATAGCTTTGGCTATTCTGGGTCTTTGTGGTTCTGTATACATTTTAGGATCATATTTCTGTGAAGAATGTCATTGGTATTTTTATAGGGATTGCACTGAATCTGTAGATTGCTTTGGGTAGTATGGACATTTTAACAATATTGATTCTTCCAATCCATGAACATGGAATATTTTTTCATTTTTGGTGATCTCATCAATTTCATTCATCAGTGTTTTATAGTTTTCATTATAGAGATATTTAACTTCTTTGGTTAATTCCTAGGTATTTAATTTTATGTGTGGCTATTGTAAATGAGATTACTTTTTAATATCTTTTTCAGATTGTTCACTGTTGGCATATAGAAACACTACTGATGCCTCAGAGATGACCATGATGGTGTTCTGGTGTCAGGAGAATAGCAATGCCTGGGAGTCCACCACCACCATAATCTCCTGTGATCCCACGGAGCTGCAGTCAGAAGGGAGCAATGACAAGAAATAAGTGCTGAGCAGTTGTCATATGGTGCTGGAAGACATGCTACTTTTCCCTGAGGGCGGAAGACAGCCTGATGACGGTGGTACAATCAATGACATCTCTGTGCTGGGAGTGACCTGCTTGGGGGCCCAGGCTGATCATTTCACACAGACACCCCTGGATCCTGGAAGCCAAGTCCTGGTCTGGGTAGACTGGGAGTGGAGGTTTGACCACATGCAGCAGCATTAAAGGCAGCATCTCATCACAGCAGTTGCTGATTATCTGTTTGAGTTAAAGACAACATCATGGGAGTTAGGGAAATTTCGGAGTGTGATGCTGGAAAGCCCCTCTGTGAATGCAGAGAAAATAACCGCCACTGAAAAGAGTGTCAATAAAAATATCAGAGATCAGCTGCTCAACAAAGTATGAGAACTGAGCCTGAATGATCCTGAGGCGGAGCAGGTGAGAGGCTGGGGCCTGCCAGATGATCATGCTGGGCCCATTGGAATTGTTACCATCAAGGGTGTTGATTCCAACATGTGCTGTGGGATCCCCATGAGCAATCTCCGTGACTTTCCAGTCATTAAGATTAGGCACCGAGAAGAGGAAAAGGAATAAAATCAAACTGATATTTCTGGCTGGGAACCAGATGCTGAAATGGATGAAGAGAAGTCATGAAACTGAAAGAGCACTGAATCACTCTGCTTAAGTGTGGAGCAGAGGATCACATGGAAGCAGTGAAAAAGCTCCAGAATGTAGCCAGGCATGGTGGCTACTGCCTGTAATCCCAGCACTTTGGGAGGCCGAGGCGGGCAGATCACGAGGTCAGGAGATCGAGACCATCCTGGCTAACACGGTGAAACCCCGTCTCTACTAAAAATATAAAAAATTAGCTGGGCGTGTGGCGGGCGCCTGTAGTCCTAGCTACTTGGGAGGCTGAGGCAGGAGAATGGCGTGAACCCAGGAGGTGGAACTTGCAGTGAGCTGAGATCACGCCACTGCACTCCAGCCTGGGCGACAGAGCGAGACTCTGTCTCTAAATAAATAAATAAATAAATAAATAAATAAATAAATAAATAAAATAAAATAAAATAAAATAAAATAAAATAAAAAAGAAAAAGTTCCAGAACTCCACCAAGCTCCTGCAGAAGAACAACCTGAATCTGCTCAGAGACTCAGCTGTGCACATTGCCCATAGCCTCAGGACCAACCCAGACTCGGGGGATGTGGTCATATTACACAGGAAGGAGGGTGATTCATAGTTCATGAATATTGTTGCCAATGAGATTGGGTCAGAGGATTCCTTCCTGTTCTTAAACATGGGTGATGAGAAAGGTGCTGGGCTCTTTTTACTGGCAGGGCCACCTGAGACCATGGAGACCCTGGGGCCCAGGGTGGATGAGGTCCTAGAAGGCAAAGGAGCAGGGAAGAAAGGCTGCTTTCAGGGCAAAGTCACCAACATGAGCCAACAGGCAGAGGTGCTATCACTTCTCCAGAACTACATCAGCACACAGAGTGCTAGGAAGTGAGGGCTCAGGGTGCTCACCTCCTCTTACCACAGAAGGAGTCTTTTGGATAATTAAATAGCTTGACTTGAAAAAAAGAAGTGCTACTGTTTTTTTATGTTAATTTTCTATCCTGTAATTTTACTGAATTTGTTTATCAATTCTAATAGTTTTTGGTGAAGTCTTTAGGTTTTTCCAACTATAAGATCATATCATCTGCAAACAAGGATAATTTGACTCCTTCCTTTCAAATTTGGAAGCCCTTTACATCTTTGTCTTGACTCATTGCTCTTCCTAGGACTTCCAGTACTATGTTGAATAACAGTGGTGATAGTGGGCATCCTGGTTGTGTTCCAGATCTTAGAGGAAAGGCATTCAGTTTTTCGCCATTCAGTATGATACAAGCTGTGGGTCTGCTGCATGTGGCTTTTATGACGTTGAGGTATGTTCCTTCTATCCCCAGCTTTTTGAGGTTTCTATCATGAAGGGATGTTGAATTTTATCAAATGCTTTTTCAGCATCCATTGAAATGATCATAAGGTTTTTATCCTTCATTCTGTTGATATTGATGTATCACATTGATTTGTGTATGTTGAACCACCTTGTGTCTCAGGAATAAATCTTACTTGTTCATGATGAATGACCTTTCTAATGCATTGTTGAATTCAGTTTGCTAGTATTTTGTTGAGGATTTTTGTATTAATATCCATCAGAGATATTGGACTATATTTTCCTTCCTTCCGGAGAGGTCGAGTAGGATTGATATTAGTTCTTTAAATGTTTGGTGGAATTCAGCAATTAAGCCATAGGGCCCCAGGTTTTTTTTTTTTTTTCTTTCTTTCTTTCTTTTTTTTTTTAAACCTGGGAGAATTTTTATTATGACTTCAATCTCATCATTTGTTATTGGTCTGCTGAGGTTTTGGATTTCTACTGGTTCAATCTTGGTAGGCTGTATGTGTCTAGGAATTTGTCCATTTCTTCTAGATTTTCCAACTTATTGGCATATAGTTGTTCTCCTTGTATTCAATATGAAAATAAATTCTAGCTGTGAAATCAGCCATTTGATGAACAGGCCCTCATTCCTTTGGAGAGAAGAGATAGTTAGGGATCCCAATCTGGGTCGCTAAGGGTGCTCATTCCTACTGGATTGGTAATTATTTCAAGAAATTTTTTAAGGAATACTTTTTTTATTTTACTTTAAGTTCTGGGATACATGTGCTGAATGTGCAGGTTTGTTACATAGGTATACATGTGCCATGGTGATTTGCTGCACCTATCAACCCATCACCTAGGTTTTAAGCCCTGCCTGCATTAGGTATTTGTCCTAATGCTCTCCCTCCCCTTTCCCCCCACCCGCTGACAAGCCCTGGTGTATGATGTTCCCCTCCCTGTGTCCATGTGTTCTCATTGTTCAACTCCCACTTATGAGTGAAAACATGGTGTTTGGTTTTCTGTTCCTGTGTTACTTTGCTGAGGATGATGGTTTCTAGCTTTATTTATGTTCCTGCAAAGGACATGAACTCATCTTTTTTATGGCTGCATAGTATTCCGTGTTGTATATGAACCACATTTTTGTTACCCAGTCTATCATTGATGGGCATTTGGGTTGGTTCCAAGTCTTTGCTATTGTGAACAGTGCTGCAATAAACATATGTGTGCATGTGTCTTTATAGTAGAATGATTTATAATCCTTTGGGTATATACCCAGTAATGGGATTGGTGGATCAAATGGTATTTCTGGTATTAGATCCTTGAGGAATCGCCACACAGTCTTCCACAATGTTTGAACTAATTTATACTCCCACCAGGATTGTAAAATTGTTCCTATTTCTCCGCATCCTTGCCAGCATCTGTTGCTTCCAGACTTTTTAATGATCACCACTCTAGCTGGCATGAAATGGTATCTCATTTTCTAATTTTGATTTGCATTTCTCTAATGAACAGTGATGATGAGCTTTTTTTCATATGTTTGTTTGCCATATATATGCCTTCTTTTGAGAAGTGTCTGTTCATATCCTTCACCCACTTTTTCATGGGGTTGTTTTTTTCTTGTAAATTTGTTTAAGTTCCTTGTAGATTCTAGATATTAGACCTTTGTCAGCTGGATAGATTGCAAAAAGCTTCTCCCATTCTGTAGGTTGCCTGTTCACTCTGATGATATTTTCTTTTGCTGTGCAGAAGCTCTTTAGTTTAATTAGATTGCATTTGTCAATTTTGGCTTTTGTTGCCATTGCTTTTGGTGTTTTAGTCATGAAGTCTTTGCCCATGCCTATGTCCTGAATGGTATTGCCTAGGTTTTCTTCTAGGGTTTTGATAGTTTTAGGTTTTACATTTAAGTCTTTAATCTATCTTGAGTTAATTTTTGTATAAGGTGTAAGGAAGGGGTCCAGTTTCAGTTTTCTGCATATGGGTAGCCAGTTTTCCCAGCACCACTTATTAAATAGGGAATTTTTTCCCCATTGCTTGTTTTTGTCAGGTTTGTCAAAGGTCAGATCATTGTAGATGTGTGGTGTTATTTCTGAGGCCTCTGTTCTGTTCCATTGGTCTATATATCTGTTTTGGTACCAGTATCATGCTGTTTTGGTTACTGTAGCCTTGTAGTATAGTTTGAAGTCAGGTAGCGTGATGCCTCCAGCTTTGTTCTTTTTGCTTGGGATTGTCTTGGCTATATGGGATCTCTTTTGGTTCCAAATGAAATTTAAAGTAGCTTTTTCTAATTCTGTGAAGAAAGTCAATGGTAGCTTGATGGGAATAGCATTGAATCAATAAATTACTTTGGGCAGTATGGCCATTTTCACGATATTGATTCTTCCTATCCATGACCATGGAAAGTTTTTCCATTTTTTTCTGTCCTCTCTTATTTCCTTGAGCAGTGGTTTGTAGTTCTCCTTAAGATGTCCTTCATGTCCCTTGCAAATTGTATTCCTAGGTATTTTATTTTCTTTGTAGCAATTGTGAATGGGAGTTCACTCATGATTTGGCTCTCTGCTTGACTATTATTTGTGTATAGGAATGCCTGTGATTTCTGCACATTGATTTTGTATCCTGAGACTTTGCTGAAGTTGTTTATCAGCTTAAGGAGTTTTTGGGCTGAGATGATAGGGTTTTCTAAATATACAATCATGTTGTCTTCAAGCAGAGACAATGTGACTTCCTCACTTCCTATTTGAATACCTTTATTTCTTTCTGTTGCCTGATTGCTCTGGCCAGAACTTCCAAAACTACGTTGAATAGGAGTGGTGAGAGAGAGCATCCTTGTCTTGTGCCAGTTTTCAAAGAGAATGCTTCCAGCTTTTGCCCATTTAGTATGATATTGGCTATGGGTTTGTCATAAATAGCTCTTTTTATTTTGAGATACATTCCATGAATACCTAGTTTATTGAGAGTTTTTAGCATAAAGGGGTGTTGAATTTATCGAAGGCCTTTTCTGCATCTATTGAGATAATCATGTGGTTTTTGTCATTGCTTCTTTTTATGTGATGGATTACATTTATTGATTTGCATATGTTGAACCATCCTTGCATCCCAGGGATGAAGCTGACTTGATCATGGTGGATAAGCTTTTTGATGTGCTGCTGCATTAGGTTTGCCAGTATTTTGAGGATTTTTGCATTGCTGTTCATCAGGGATATTGGCCTGAAATTTTCTTTTTTTGTTGTGTCTCTGTCAGGTTTTGGTATAAGGATGATGCTGGCCTCATAAAATGAGTTAAGGAGGAGTCCTTCTTTTCTATTGTTTGGAATAGTTTCAGAGGGAATGGTACCATCTCCTCTTTGTACCTCTGGTAGAATTTGGCTGTGAATCAGTCTGGTCATGGGCTCTTTTTTGTTGGTAGGCTAATAATTACTGCCTAAATTTCAGAACTTGTTAATGGTCTATTCAGAGATTTGACATCTTCCTGGTTTGGTCTTGGAAGGGATTACGTGTCCAGAAATTTATCCATTTCTTCTAGATTTTCTAGTTTACTTGCATAGAGGTGTTTATAGTATCCTCTGATGGTAGTTTATATATCTGTATGATCAGTGGTGATATCCCTTTTATCATTTTTTATTGTATCTCTTTGATTATTCTCTCTTTTCTTCTTTATTATTCTGGCAAGCAGCCTATCTATTTTGTTAATCTTTTCATAAAACCAGCTCCTGGATTCATTGATTTTTTGAAAGGCTTTTCATATCTCTATGTCTTTCATTTCTGCTCTGATCTTAGTTATTTCTTGTCTTCTGATAGCTTTTGAATTTGTTTGCTCTTGCTTCTCTAGTTCTTTTAATTGTGATGTTACGGTGTCGATTTTAGATCTTTCCCACTTTCTGATTTTAGATCTTTCCCACTTTCCCACTTTTAGATCTTTCCCACTTTCCCAATTTCTGATGTGGGCATTTAGTGCTATAAATTTCCTTCTAAATACTGCTTTAGCTGTGTTTCAGAGATTCTAGTACATTGTCCTTTGTTCTCATTGGTTTCAAAGAGCTTTGTTATTTCTGCCTTAATTTTGTTAGTTACCCAGTAGTCATTCCGGAGAAGGTTGTTCAGTTTCCATGTAGTTGTGTGGTTTTGAGTGAGTTTCTTAATTCTGAGTTCTAATTGATTGCACTGTGGTCTGGGAGGGTGCGTGTTATGATTTCCATTCCTTTGCATTTGCTGAGGAGTGTTTCACTTCTAATTATGTTGTCGATTTTAGAACAAGTGCTATGTGGTGCTGAGAAGAATATATATTGTTGATTTGGGGTGGAGAGTTCTGTAGATATCTATGAGATCCACTTGGTCCAGAGCTGAGTTCAGGTCCTGAATATCCTTGTTAATTTTCTGTCTTGTTGATCTCTCTATTATTGACAGTGGGGTGTTAAAGTCTCCCACTATTATTGTGTGGGAGTCTACATCTCTTTGTAGGTCTCTAAGAAGTTGTTTTATGAATCTGGGTGCTCCTGTTTGGGTGCATATATATTTAGGATAGTTAGTTCTTCTCTTTGCATTGATCCCTTTACCATTATTTAATGCTCTTCTTTGTCTTTTTTAAATCTTTGTTGGCTTAAAGCCTGTTTTATCAGAGACTAGGATTGCAAAACCTGCTTTTCTTTGCTGTCCGTTTGCTTGGTAAATATTCCTCCATCCCCTTATTTTGAGCCTATGTGTGTCTTTGAATGTGAGATGGGTCTTCTGGATACAGGATACTGGATACACTGATGGGTCTTGACTCTTTATTTACCTTGCCAGTCTGTGTCTTTTAATTGGGGCATTTAGCTTGTTTACATTTAAGGTTAATATTGTTATGTGTGAATTTGATCCTGTCATTATGATGCTAGCTGGTTATTTTGCACATTAGTTGATGCAGTTTCTTCATAGTGTCGTTGGTCTTTATAATGTGGTGTGTTTGCAGTGGCTGGTACCGGTTTTTTCTTTCCATATTTAGTGCTTCCTTCAGAAGCTCTTGTAAGGCAGGCCTGCTGCTGACAAAATCCCGTAGCAGTTGCTTGTCTGTAAAGGATTTTATTTCTCCCTCACTCATGAAACTTAGTTTGGCTGGATATGAAATTCTGGATTGAAAATTCTTTTCTTTAAGAATGTTGAATATTGGCCCTCACTCTCTTCTGGCTTTTAGGGTTTCTGCAGCGAGATCTGCTGTTAGTCTGACGGGCTTCCCTTTGTAGGTAACCTGATCTTTCTCTCTGGCTGTGCTTAACATTTTTTTCTTCATTTCAACCTTGGAGAATCTGAACATTATGTGTCTTGGAGTTGCTCTTCTCGACGAGTATCTTTGTGGTGTTCTCTGTATTTCCTGAATTTGAATCTTGGCCTGTCTTGCTAGGTTGGGGAAGTTCTCCTGGATAATATCCTGAAGTCTGTTTTCCAACTTGGTTCCATTCTTCCTGTCACTTTCAGGGACCCCAATCAATCGTAGATTTGGCCTTTTCACATAGTCCCATATTTCTTGGAGGCTTTGTTTGTTCTGTTTCAATCTTTCTTCTCTAATCTTGTCTTCATGCCTCATTTCAGTAAGTTGATGTTCAATCTCTGATATCCTTTCTGTCACTTATCAATTCGGCTGTTGATTCTTGTATATGCTTCACAAAGTTCTCGTGCTGTGTTTTTCAGCTCCATCAGGTCATTTACGTTTTTCTCTAAACTGGTTATTCTAGTTAGCATTTCCTGTAACCTTTGTCAAGGTTCTTAGCTTCCTTGCATTGGGTTAGAACATATTCCTTTAGGTCAGAGGAGTTTGTTATTATCCACCTTCTGTAGCCTACTTCTGTCAATTTGTCAAGCTCATTCCCTGTCCAGTTTTTTGACCTTGCTGGAGAGGATTTGTGATCATTTGAAGGAGAAGGGGCATTCTGGTTTTTGGAATTTTCATCATTTTTGTGCTGGCTTTTCCTCATCTTCAGGGATTTATCTACATTTGATCTTTGAGGTTGATGACCTTTGGATGGGATTTCTGTGTGGGGGTTCTTTTTGTTGATGTTGATGTTATTGCTTTCCGTTTGTTAGTTTTCCTCCTAACAGTCAAGCCCCTTTCTTCAGGTCTGCTACAGTTTGCTGGAGATCCACTCTATACTCAATTTGCCTGGTTATCACCAGCAGAGGCTGCAGAACAGCAAAGATTGCTGCCTAGTTCTTCCTCTGAAAGCTTCATCCCAGTGGGGCACTGGCCTGATGCCAGCCAGAGCTCTCTTGTATGAGGTGTTTGTCAACCCCTGTTGGGACGTGTCTCCCAGTCAGGAGGCATGGGTGTCAGGGACCCACTTGAAGAGGCAGTCTGTCCCTTAGCAGAACTCAAGTGCTGTGCTGGGAGAACCCTCCTTGTCAGGATTTGCTGCTCTCTTCAGAGCTGGCAGGCAGAAACATTTAAGTTCACTGAAGCTGTGCCCACAGCCACCCTTTCTCCCAAGTGCTCTGTCTCAGGGAGATGGGAGTTTTATTTACAGCCCTGACTGGGGCTGCTGCCTTTCTTTCAGAGATGCCCTGCCCAGTGAAGAGGAATCTAGAGGAGCAGTCTGGCCACAGCCACTTTGTCACACTGTGTTGAGTTCCACCTAGTCCTTAGCACTGTGAGGGGTAAATCACCTACTCTAGCCTCAGTAATGATGGACGCCCCTCCCCCCACCAAGCTCAATCATCTCAGGTCGACTTCAGACTGCTGTGCTGGCGCAAGAATTTCAAGCCAGTGGTTCTTAGCTTGCTGGGCTCTGTGGGAGTGGGACCTGCTGAGCGAGACCACTTGGCTCCCTGGCTTCAGCCCCCTTTCCAGGGGAGTGAATGGGTCTATCTTGCTGGGGTTCCAGGCACCACTAGGGTATGAAAAACAAACAAACAAACAAACTCCTACAGCTAGCTTGGTGTCTGCCCAAACAGCCGCCCAGTTTTGTGCTTGAAACCCAGGGCCCTGGTGGTGTAGGCACATGAGGGAATCTCCTGGTCTGTGAATTGCAAAAACTGTGGGAAAAACAAAGTATCTAGGCTGGATAGCACAGTCCCTCATGGTTTCCCTTGGCTGGGAAGGGGAGGCTACCCTGCTCCTTGCACTTCCTGGGTGAGGTGATGCCCCACCCTGCTTCTGCTCACCCTCCATGGGCTGCACCCACTGCCTAACCTGTCCCAATAAAATGAACAGGGTACCTCAGTTGAAAATGCAGAAATTATCTGCCTTCTGCATTGGTCTCACTGGGAGCTGCAGACTGGAGCTGTTACTATTCAGCCATATTGCCAGCAGCCGCCGTGAATACATTTGTATGTGATGACAATATACATCATGATATTATACTGATTGCATAGCCTCATTGATGTTACTTTTGTATCTCCTTTCTCTTAAATTGAAAATTCAAATTTTATCGATATTAACAATGTTGCACATTTCCATTATCCAAACACATGCACATATACACACACCACAAAATTAAACACTTTAGTGTTTTTACATTTGTTTCATTTTTGTTTTGGTAGCTCTTTTTGTACTTAGGATATGTTTTGTTAAAAACGTATAGTCAAATGACAAATTACTATGTTTTAAAGTCATTCAAAGAACTTTCTGAGTGGTTAAGCCATCAACCTGTCACATGGTTAAATTCAATTATTTCATTTTTCTTTTGAGTTTTAGAGATTTTTTTTTAAAAAATAGTTTTGTTTTACAATTCTATACACTATTTCATAGTTACCATATCAAATTCATAAAACAGGCATGGTCAGAAAAATCAAGATTTAATCAACTATCCACCCTCATTTGTTCTCTTTTCTTAGATGACAAGATACTACTGAAACAACCAAACAAACAAACAAATGCCCAGTCAAGAAAAAGCCACATTCAAAATCGTAGGCAATTTCATGGTGTTTTTACTCACCCTTGCCCCACCACTTCACTGGCACAAAGCAAAATGGTCAGAAGAAAGAGGCTCACTCCCTGGTCCCCTCCATTAAAATGGAAAAAGCAGAGTGCTAATTGTAAAGTTATTGCCTGTGTCCAAGGGACTGGTATGTGTCTTACCTGTCTTGGAGCTCAGAGAGATAACAGTGCATAGTTTGAATATTAGACTGAAAGGTGAAGAAGGGAGTGGCAGGTGCAGCAGCATGTGATACTGAAGAAGTACTACAGAGTCACACATGACTGGTAGCAATAGATTGTGGGTAGAGGAATATAATGGCATATCTAAGGCTCAGAGAAGAACCTCGGGTGATACTGTTTTAAATATTAATAATCTCAGGTAAACTGGGGGGAAATACAGCACACATACAGAAGCCCAGACAGAACTCATACCCACAAAAGACCAGGGAAGCCCTTAAGCATTGACTCCTGACTGATCTCAAAGCTCAACAACCCCCTAGTTAGTAAAGGCCTTCATAGCAGTCTTCAAAGACTGGGATAGATGTTATATTGTAATGTTCCATTTCCAACAAAAGATGACAAAGAATATAAAGAAATAGGGGAAGATGGCCATTCAAATGAATAAATTAAATTTCTAGACACAGTCTCTGATGAGACATTCAACAGACTTATTAGACAGAAACTTTAAAACAACTGTCTTACATATATTCAAAAAGCCAAAGGAAAATAGAAACAAAGAACTAAAGGAAGCCTGGAAAACATTTTATGAACAAAATGAGAATATAAACAAAAAGATAGAAACTATATAAAAAATTCTGGAGCTAAAAATACAATAAAAGAATTGAAAAATTCACTAGAGGTATTTATCAGCAGACTCAAACAGGGAGAAAAAAGAATCAGTGAGTTTCAACATAGGTCATTTGAAATCATTGAGTCAGAAAAAAAAAGAAAAGAAATGGAAGAAAGTGAACAGGGCCTAAAGGGATTTATAAGACATAATTGAGTGGCCTAATATACACATTGTATGAGTTCCAGAAGAAGAAGAGATACAGAAAAAGGAAAGATTATTTGAAGAAATATGGCTGAAAGTTTACCAAATCTGAGGAAAGATATGAATGTACAAATTCAAGAAGCTCAATGAACTCCAAGTAGGATAAACCAGAAATACACCTAGACACTTTATAGTCAAGCTGTTAAAAGCAAAAGACAATGAGAAAATCCTGAAAGCACCAAGAGAAAAGTGACTCATCACATTCAAGGGATTCTCCAATATCAGCAGATTACTCAGCAGAAACCTTACAGTCCAGAAGACAGTGGGATGACATTCTTAAAGTATTAAAAGAAAAAATCTGTCTAATGAGAATTCTACAACCATCAACACTATACTTTAAAAATAAAAATGAGGTAGAAATTAAGACATTCCCAGATAAATAAAAGCTGAGGTAATTCATTATCATTAGACTTGCTCTATGAGAAATGCAAAGAAAGTCCTTCAAGTTAAAATAAAAAGATACTTGACAGTAACACAAAGCTATCTGACAGTAAAAGGTCTCAGGTAAAGATGTCCATATAGATACATAACCAAATATTATTGTAATATTGTAATTTGTAATTTTGTAATTAATATTGTAATTTTGGTTTATAACTTTGCTTTTAATTTTTGACAGGATTTATAAGATGTTTGAAGTTTTTCCTCTTTTTTGATATAGGCACTTATAAATACAAACCTCCTTCTTAGTACTGCTTTTGCTGTATCCCATGGGTTTTTGTATATTGGGTATTCATTATCATTTGTTTCAAGAAGTTTTTCAATTTCCTTCTTAATTTCTTCATTGACCTGCTGGTAATTTGGGAGCATATTATTCAATTTCCATGCATTTGTGTAGTTTCCAAAATCTCTCTTGTTACTGATTTTCAGTTTTATTTCCTTTCTACTCTACTCTGGTACTGAATTCAATGCCTCACAACTGTGTTCTCCCTCCCACAGTGCCCAGAGATGCTCTCTGTACCATGCTGCACTGCCACAGGGTGGGGGAGGGAATGGAGTTGGTGACTCCAGTCAGGTCTGTTTTTTGCTATCTTTTCAGTGCCTCTTTCAGCAATATGAAGTTAAAACCAGGTACTATGAGTGCTCACTTGATTTTTGGTTCTTATGAAGGTGTTTTTTTGCTGTGTAGATTGTTGTTAAATTGGTGTCCTTGTAGGTGAAATGATCAGTGGAGCCTTTATTCTGCCATATTGGTCCGCCTTACAAAAAACAAAAATAAAATGTTTAAAGAAGGAAAATCTACAATCAATATTCTAAGCTTTTAAGAATATGAAAACAGGCTGGGCACAGTGGCTCATGCCTGTAATCCTAGCACTTTCGGAGGTTGAGGTGGGTAGATCACCTGAGGTCAGGAGTTTGAGACCAGCCTGGCCAACATGGTGAAATACCATCGCTACTAAAAATACAAAAATTAGCCAGGCATGGTGGTGTGTGCCTGTAATCCCAGCTACCCAGGAAGCTGAGGCAGGAGAATCGCTGGAACCCGGGAGGCAGAGGCTTCAGTGAGCCAAGATCATGCCACTGCACTCTAGTCTGGGTCAGAGAGTGAGACTCCATCTCAAAAAAAAAAAAAAAAGTAAAGAAAATATAGCATCACACCAAACACAAAATAAGTAGGAGGAAGAAAATAATAAAGAACAAAAAATAAACGAGTAAAATTGAAAACACAAATATATAGAAAAAATAATACTTAAAACTAATCTTGATTCTTGGAGAAGATCAACAAAATTGATAAAAGTTCATGATGAATAAGGAAAAAAGAGAGAAGACACAAATTATCAAAATCAGGAATGAAAATGGGAACAATATCAAAGAACCCATAGATATTAGAAGATTTATAAAAGAATATTATGAAAATCTTTATACCAACAAATAATAAAACTCAGATAAAATGTACAAATTCTGACAAAGACATAAATTACCAATTGTTTCTAAAAAAATAGACCATATGAATAGGCCTCGGTCAAATAAAAAGTTGAATTCCAAACTTAAAAGCTTCTCACAATGAAAGCCCAGGCCTATGTGGCATCTCTGGTGGAATCTATTATTTAAAAGAAATACAGTGTACTCATCACCCAAATAGTGTACATTGTACCCATTAGGTAGTATTTAATCCCTCATCTCACTCCCAACCATCCCACCTTTTGTAGTCTCCAACGTCTGTTATTCCACTCTGTATGTCCACATGTACACATTGCTTAGCTCCCAGTTTTAAGTGAGAACATGTGGATTTTGACTTTCTGTTTCCGAGTCATTTCACTTAGGATAATGCCTCCAGTTCTAGCTGTACTGCTGTAAAACATATGATTTTATTCTTTTTGTATGGTTGAGTAGTATTCCATAGTGTGTGTATGTATGTGTGTGTATATGTATGTGTGTATATATATATATATATATATATATATATATATATATATATATATATATATATTGCATTTTAAATCCAATCATCCCAGTTAGAGTGGCCATTATTTAAAAGTCAAAAAACAACAGATATTATTGATGCTCAAATTGTACCATATTTGTCTGGTGGAAGCCTCTTGAAGTTGGCTCTTGAGTTCCCTTGAAACCCCAACATTATCACCACATAATATATCCATGTAACACAACTGCACTTGTACCCCTAAATCTAGAAGAATAAAATAATAATAAAGGCAATGGATGGAAACATAGTAACTATGTTTGAATCTATGAGTTCATAATAACATTTTAAAAACAAATAATCCCGTTTAAAAGTGAGCAAAGGACATGAATAGACATTTCTCAAAAGAAGATATACAAATGGCCAACAAACATATTAAAAAATGCTCGTTTAAGTTGTTTGTTGTTTGTGTCACCTCATTTTATAAGGTCTATACTACTCTGATAATACTATCAAAGACATAACAAAAAGATAAAATTATAAAACAATATTTCTAATACATTTTAAGAAATCTTAATAAAATATCAGCAAATAAAATTTAGAAGTGTATAAAACATTTCTATATTGTAAAAAAGGAGTCTTTTGCAGGAATGCAAAGTTGACTTAACAAACAAAAAAATTGATGTAATATACTGCAATAGAATACAATGCAAAAACCACATCAACTTCTTTATAGATGAAGAAAGATCATTTGACAAAAATCTAATTCTCAGTCATGATGAAAATTCTCAAAAACAAGGAATAGAAGAAAGCATTCTTATACTGGTAAAATCATCTATTAAACAACCGCCATTAAAATCACACTTAATGGTAAAAGTCTAAGAAATTTCTCTATAAGATTAGTAAAAGAAAAGATGTTCACTCTTGCCATTTATGCTCAACCGAAAGTTTCAGCCAAGACAGTCATGCCAAAAAAGAGAAACTAAAGGCATACGGACTGGAAAAAGAAGTAAAATTGTATTTATTCTCATGTGACAGAATCTCATATGTTTTTTTAAAACAAAAAAAAAAAATCCCAAGATTCTGTTGGACAAGTGGTTGTTGAAAAAAGAATCCCAAGGAACTTACCAAAAAACTACTAGAACTACCAAAACTAATAAGCAAGTTTAACAAGGTCACAGAAACCCATGATTAGCACATAAAAATAGATTGTATCATTATATAATAGCAATGAACAAGTCAAAAAATATTAAGAAAAAATTCCATTCACAATAACATCAGAATAATGTAATTTTTAGAAATAAATTAAAGCAAAAGTCCAACACCTGAACACTAAAACTGACAAACATTGATGAGATAAAGTAAATTATATATATAAAATGCACATGGATTGGAAGATTCAACATTAAGAAAACAACTTTTTTCTAAAATTGATGTATAAATTTAAGGTAGTCTATAAAATAATCTCAGCAGATATTTCTGGGTTTACAAAGACATGGGTAAATGCATAGTCACCTACCTCCCAAAATTTCTTCTCCAAGGTATATGAAATAACACAGGGAAAAGTTAAATCCTAAGCCAAAATATGCTCCAACATAACTTGAAGACAAAAAATGCCAAAACTGCAAATAATTGTGAATAATGATAAGTAAATTATCAAATCAAAGTGTATGATCTTGCTTACCTTCACCCCATTCCTCCCCTCATGAAGGATTTGTGGCAAGCAAAGGAAAATCATGAAAAACTGTAGAGAACACAGAAGAGGGAGGCCAATAAGGGGGCTATAGGTGACCTGGATTAACTGCCAAAAGGATTGTCCAACACAATTCTGAAAATACTGGAAGACTATCTGGGAAGATCAGAACATTGACTATAGGGATGATATTTTAAAGGATGTGTGCCTTTAAAAGATGATTTAAAGAAGTAGAAGCACATTAAAAGGCACAATAAGCCAGCACTCTTCAAAATGTGTAGGTTCTGGATAATGACAAAAGATGCCAAAGGAAAACGGAAGAATCCTACAGCAACTGGGTGGTGAAAAGTAGAAAAAGGAAAAGGGGGAAAATAAGGCTTCTACAAAAAAAAAAAAAAAATAGAACCATAAAACTGGAGGATTTACAAATTGCCCCCCCACCCACCCAGCCTTGCCCCAAATTTAGGATTCTGCGAGAGAAAACAGAGCTATAAAACTGGAGAATTTACAACCCCTTACACTATTATAGCAAACAAAGAAACAAAACCCTGAGCATGTATCTGGACTGTGCTGTATTGACAGATAATTTCATGCTTCAACTCCAAATCCTCTCAAACATGACAATACCACAAAAGTGAACAAAAGGAAGCTCAGCAAGTCCATACAAAAATACTGCAAAATATCAGGTAATAAAATTTTACCCATATCAAATGAAATGTTCCATAATAAACAAACATGGAACAAAGAAACGATAAGTTAATAGTTCATAAATAAGTACACTCAAACAAGCACTTGAGAGTATAAAAAACACTACCTTGCATCAGAAATTAGAAAACTAAACTCAGATATAAACAAAATAAACATGAAAAAGAGTTTACTGAACTTACAAAGCATATCTCATAAGCAAAGACTATGCTGAAACATGCCCAAGAGGTAATAAACTCAAGTGAGTAATGGCAGTACAAATAACAAATGAAAACACTGAAGTTTGGTTCAAGCCAGCCAATAGATGCAGCTAGAATATGCCTCCTTGGAGAAGAACCAAAATAGCAAGTAGGTATTCACACTTCAAATAGATAATCTAAGAGAGAACATTGGGATTCAAGGGAGAAATGACAGGAAGCACTGAAAGCAAAGGAGAGGGAATCTAGGTAGCCTGCTCAGCCAGAATGGGCTAGGACCTGGAAGAGGCACACAGACATGAGGAAGGGGTAAGTGGGAGTCCCCCAGGGCTCCATATTCCCAATACAGACTATCATAATCCCAGTTACAGGAGAACTACTTGACCCATGCAGACCTCAAGACTAATATAAGGAGATTCCTAGAGATTGTGCAAAGGCATTTCTCCAAAGAGATAACTAAGTCCCAAAGGCTTCTGAGCCCCAAGCAGCTGCAGCTTGGTGCCATTCTGAGAGTTAAGCCCCCAAGAGACTGTGTGCTGTCCCGGGGTTGATGCCATTGCTGCTGCCCCAGGCCAAGGAGGGAAAGGAGAGGGCAAGCATTTTTACTCATTGCAAACACAAATTCCACCACTGCTGCTGCAAGCTGCTATGGGACCAAAGTGCAAGCAAACCACACTCCCCACTGTTGTCCACCTATGCTGCTCCTGCTGAGAAGGGCCTCACCATCCCTGATCACAGGCCCACAGCTAGCACCATTATGAGAGCCTAGACTCAAAAGGGCTGCATCCTGCCCTGAGTCCTGGGCTGCTGCTGCTGCTGCTTCCACTGCTGGGCCAAGGAGGAAAAGGGGGGAGGCCAGGCACTTTCACATGATGCAAGGACAAATTCCACCACCATTGCTGTGGGCTGCTGTGAGACCAAAGCACAAACAAACCATGCTCCCCACAGCTACCTGCCTACACTGCTCCAGCTGGAAAGGACTATGACCTTCCTGATTGCAGGCCCAGAGCCAGCACCATTCTGAGAGCCTATACTCCAAAAGGCTGTGTTCTGCTCTGGGGCTAGGGCTGACAATGCCACTGCAGCTACTGGGCCACACTGGGAGAGGGAATACTGGGCACTTTCACATGCTATGAAGATAAATTCCACCAATGCTACTGTGGGATGCTGTGGGATAAAAATGCAAGGAAACCATGCATCCTACAGCTACCTCCCTACATTGATCTCGCTAAGAATGGCCTCACCCTCCCCAGTGGAAGGCCCACAATGCAGCCACTGCTGCCTACACCTGAGTATCCTTCTGGCAGCCGGGGGACCACCCTGTTCCTACCAGTCAAAGCCAGCACTTGAATGGACTACCAGGGAGCCTGAGAACAAGTCCACTCATCCAGTCCTAACTTATCAGTATTCAAGCATGCTATCAGGGGCATGGAAACCACCCAGCCAAGTCCACCAACATTGGTACCTGAACACCCCTCCTGGTGTATAAAGTTGGGCCAAAAAAACCTACCAATACCATCACAGCTGACACCCACCCACATGTACCACCAATGGGCCAGGTGACTAATCCACCCAACCTGTCATAGCCACTGCCAACACCATCATAAACTACTTGGGTTCCAATAGGTTGCTCCACCATCACTACTGCCGTTGTGCACATCATAACCACTCTCTAGAGACTCAAGAAGTCACCAACATGCCCAGATTATCATTGCTACTACCAGCAAATGAGCAAGCCACTTAGAGGACCAGGAATCAGCCCACCTGAACCTACATACACAGATGCCAACATATGCCACCCTGAGGCCCAAATACAGGCATGTTCAACCCACCACTGACACTACTGGCACCTGAAGACTGGCCCATCAGGCATACAAGAACTTCACCACAGCCTCCATTAATAACTATACTCTAAGCCACTGAGTTCATCACAAATACTACTAACACTGTTTATAGCTGAAAATAATGGCTATTACTAAAAAGACAAAAAATAACAGATATTGGTGGGGATGTGGAGAAAAGGGAATACACTGATGGTGAGAATGTAAACTATTATAGCCACTATGGAAAACAATATGGAGATTTCTTTAAAAACTAAAAATAGAATTACCATTCAATTCAGCAATCTCACTACTGGTCATCCAGCCAAAGGAAAAAAAAATCAATATATCAAATGGATACCCACTCTCACATTTTTACTGCAGCACTATTCACAATGGTGAAGATATGTAATCAACTGCAGTGTCCATTAATTGTGAATGGATAAAGAAAAAATACACACACACACACACACACACACACACACACACAATGAAATACTAATTGGCCATAAAAAAGAATAAAATCATGTCATTTGCTGAAACATGGATGGAACTAAAGGACTTTATCTTAAGGTAAATAAGCCAGGCACAAAAAGACAAATATCATATGTTCTCACATATTTGGGACCTAATCAAGTCTCCAGATGAGTACTCAGCCCTGGGCAACACCTTAATTGCAGCCTATGAGAACTAGTCAGAGGATCCACCTAAGCCAGCCCCACATTGCTGAGTCACAACAGCTGGGAGATAATGAATGTATGTGTGTTGTTTTACGCTGCTAAATTTGTGGTACTTTGTTATGCAGCAACAGATAATTGATACAAAATGAGTCACAAGATAACCAGGATAATTAACTTAGCAGGATCAGCTCTGAAACATATTTTTGTAAAAGTAGTATTATTGGGGGCAGGGCCAAGATGGCTAACTAGAAGCAACTAATGTGCACCACTTTCATGGAGAGAAGAAAAAGTGGTGAGTAAATACTAGATCTTCAACTGAAACATCCAGGAAGACAAAGAAACAACTCAACCCACAGAGAATGGAGAGGAGCGAGACAAGATGACTGCCCACCTGGGAGTAGCATCAAGCCAGGGGAGGTTTTTCCAGCACAGGGAAATGGTGAGTGAGTGAAAGTCCCTGGAGATCCATACTTTTCCCACAGACCTTTGCAACCTTCATGAGCCCTCATGAGCCCATGCCACTGGGGCCTTTACACTGATATGCAGAGCTACATGGAGTCTGGGCAGCACCACTGTTCAGGTACACGTGGAGTCCCAGAAGCCTTGGATCCCCAGGCATCCTGGTATTGGTGGCTGCATCTCCAGCAATGGAGGAAGTCAGGCTCCCTCGTGTGCACTCAGGAAATGTGCCAAATACATAGGGCTGAACAGCGAGAGCCTGCAGGCCTTGCCTCTGCTGCACCTCGGAGGATAAGACTCACTGGTCCGGGACTCCAGCCACCCACTGCTAGAGCTCTCAGGCCAGTATCAGCTCTGAACTCTGGGATGGAGCACCCACAGGGAGAGGCAAGCCATTATTTTTGCTGTCTTGCAACCCTCACCACTGTTGCCTTCAGGCTCTGGAGACTGTGTGGTGGTTAGGGACTGTCACAGATCCTGAGCAAAATGCAGCCACCCCACAGAAAAACAGACAGACTGTTAGTGCACAGATCCATGATCCTGCTTCTCCTCACTGGGCAGGACCTTCCGACCAGGGACTCCAGCCCACCCCCTGTCAGGGCTCTCAGGCTAGCAGCAGCTCTGCACTTCCCTGGGACAGAGCTCCCACAGGGAGAAGCAGGCCACCAGTTTTGCTGTCTCACAGTCCTCACCATTGTTCCCTTCAGGCTCCAGGGAGTGAGCAGTGACTAGAGACTGGGGCATATCACCAGCTGATGCAGCCACTCCACAGAAAAAGTGGCAAGACTATTTTCTACATGGGTCCCCAATCCTGCTTCTCCTTACTAGGCAGGGCCTTCCAACCTGGGACTGCAGAACATCTACCCTGCTCCCACACGAATACTTTGGTTAAAGACAGTTCTTCAGTTCTCTGAGGAGAAAATCCCCGAAACAACCCACAACTCCTCCACCATTGCAGCTGCACTGGTAGCACCCTAACAGCCCTAGGGTAGGGAAGGAACAGAGGACCTAGTCACTATGTTGGAACCTCCAGAACACCACAGCCGCCACACAAAGAGGCAGCCAGTACTTCTTCCCTGTGAGCCCCTACCCCCTACTATTTAGGGTCCCTGTATCAGGACCACAGATGAGCCACCCCACCCACAGCTGACCATACCCACTAGTAGTGGCTCTAAGTTTCCCTGGAGAGGAGTCCCAGAGGCAACCAAACTAAGTTTCACGAGTGAAAGAAAAATAAGATCCTTTTCAGACAAGTAAATGCTAAGGAAATTCATTACCAACAGATCTGCCTTTCAAGAGGTCCTAAAAGGAGTGTGAAATATGGAAAGGAAAAACCATTAGAAGCCATGCCACAACAAAAACACACTTAAGTACACAGACCAATGACATTAGAAAGCACCACACAAACAAGTCTGCATAATAACCAGCTAACAACATAGTGAAAGGAACAAATCTGCACACATTAATACTAACATTGAATGAAAATGGGCTAAATGCCCCAATTAAAAGGCACAGAGTGGCAAGCTGAATAAATAAAGAATAAAGAAGCATGATCCAATGGCATGCTGTGACCAAGAGACCCATCTCACATGCAATGACACAAATAGGCACAAAATAAAGGGATGGAGAAAAATCTACCAAGAAAATGGCAAATAGAAAAAAAGTAGGAGTTGCTATCCTAATTTCAGACAAAACAGACTTTACACCAATAAAGATCAAAAAAGAAAAAGAAGAGCATTGTATACTGATAAAGGATTCAATTGAACAAGAAATCTAACTATCCTAAATATATATGCCCCCAACACAGGAGCACCCAGATTCATAAGGCAAGTTCTTAGAGACCTACAAAGAGACTTAGATGACTACACAATAATACTAGAAGACTTCAACACCCCACTGACAGTATTAGACAGATCATCAAAGCAGAAAATTAATAAAGATATTCAGGACCTGAACTCAATATTTGACCAAATGGACCTAATAGACATCTACAGAAGTTTCTACCCAAAACAACAGAATATACATCCGTCTCATTGCCACAGGGCACATACTCTAAAATTGACGGGACAATCAAACATAAAACAATGCAAAGCATATTCAAAAAACAAAAACAAAAACAAAATCATACCACTGGGTGGTGCAGGGCACTGGTGCCCTGGGCCTGGCCAATGAAACCATTCAGTCCTCCTAGGCCTCTGGGCCCTTGATGGGAAGGGCTGCATTAAAGATCTCCGAAATGCCATTGAGGCCTTTTTTCTATTGTCTTGGCTATCAGCACCTGGATTCCTTTTAGTCAGGCAAATCTCTCTAGCAAGTGCTTGCTCTGCAGCCTGCTTGGATTCCTCTCCCCAAAAATCATTTCCTTTATTTGCCATGTGGCTATCCTGCAAATTTTCCAATCTTTAACACTCTGCTTTATCTTTAAATATACATTCCCAACTTAAGTCATTTATTTGCTCTTGCATCTGGGTATATGCCGTTAGGAGTAGCCATGCCACTTATTGAATACTTTGCTGCTTAGAAATTTCCTCCATCAGATATCCTAGTTTGTCACTCTTAAGTTTAAGCTTCCACAGATCTCCAGGGCATGGACACAATATAGCCAAGTTCTTTGCTAAGGTGTAAGAAGGGTGAACTTTGCTCCAGTTCCCAATAAATTGCTTATTTCAATATAAGGCCTCATCAGCCTGGACTTCACTGTCTATATCACTATAAGCATTTTGGTCACAACCATTTAACCAGTCTCTAACAAGTTCCAAACTTTCCCTCATCTTCCTATCTTCTTCTGAGGCCTCCAAACTCTTCAAATCTCTGCCTGCTACCCAGTTCCAAAGCCTATTCCATATTTTTATAGCAATGTCCCATTCCTCAAAACCAAATTTCTGTGTTAGGCTGTTATTGCATTGCTATAAAGAAATATCTGAGACTGGGTAATGTGTAAAGAAAAGAGGTTTAATTGACTCACAGTTCTGCAGGCTGTACATGAAGCATGGTGTCAGCATCTGCTTGGCTTCTTGTGAGGAGTTGGGCTTCTTACAATCATGGCAAAAAGCAAAGCAGGGGTAGGCACATCACATGTGAAAGCAGGAGCAAAGGGTGGGGAAGGTGCCACACACTTTTCCTTTTTTTTTTTTTTTTTTTGAGATGGAGTTTCACTCTTGTTGCCCAGGTTGGAGGGCAGTGGTGTAATCATGGCTCACTGCAACCTCTGCCTCCTGGGTTCAAGTGATTCTCCTGCCTTAGCCTCCCGAGTAGCTGGGATTACAGGCATGCACCACCACGCCCGGCTAATTTTGTATTCTTAGTAGAGACAGGGTTTCTCCATGTTGGTCAGGCTGGTCTCAAACTCCCAACCTCAGGTGATCCGCCCACCTTGGCCTCCCAAAGTGCTGAGATTACAGGCGTGAGCCCTGTGCCACATACTTTTAAACAACTATATCTTATGAAGGGTCACTCACTATCATGAGGACAGCTCCAAGCTAATGGTGCTAAATCATTTAAGAGAAATCCATTCCCATGATCCATTGACTTTGGGATTACATTTCAACATGCTTTCATGGGGACAAATATCCAAACTATATCACTCACAAATATAGTCATACAACACATAATGATGTTTTGGTCAACAATGAACTGCATATACAATGGCAGTCACATAAGATTGCAATGCAGCCGTAAAATTCCTATTACTTTTTGATGTTGTAGCTGTTATAACGACATAGATCAAGACATTACCACACATTACCTTTTCTAAGTTTAGAAACACAATACCATTGTTACAATTGCCTACAGTATTCAGTACAGTAACATGCTGTATAGGTTTGTAGCCTAGGAGTAATAGGCTATACAATACAGCCTAAAAGTACAGTAAGCTATACCATCTAGGTTTGTATAACACACTCTATGATGTTTGCACAATGATGAGATCACCTAATAACATATTTCTCAGAATATACTCCCATCATAAATGGGCAAATGCTTACATGTGAAAATTCAACAACATACTTTTGAACAACCAATAGGTCAAAGAGATCATTTTAAGAAAAATTTAAAACATCTTGAGACAAAGGAAAATGGAAATACAAAATACAAAACTTATGTGACCAGCAAAAGCAGTTCTAAGACAGAAGTTTATAGCAGTAACTTCTACATCAAAAAAGAAAAAAGATTACAAATAAACAACCTAATGTTACACCTCAAGGAACTAGAAAAGAACAACCTAAGTCCAAAGTTAGTAGAAGTAAAGGAATAATGAAGAACAGAGCAGAAATAAATGAAACAGTAGAATAAAATGGAAACAATTAATGAAAATAAAAGTTGTTTTGTTAAAAAAATCACAAATCTTTAGCAAGACTAGCCATGAAAAAAATGAAAGCGGACACAAATAAATAAAATTATAAATTGAAGGCCAGGCACAGTGGCTCATGCCTTAATCCCAGCACTTTGGGAAGCTGAGGTGGGTGGATCATGAGGTCAGGAGTTTGAGACCAGCCTGGCCAACACGGTGAAACAATGTCTCTGCTAAAAATACAAAAAAATCAGCCAGGTGTGATGGTGTGCACCTGTAATCCCAGCTACTTGGGAGGCTGAGGCAGAAGAAACACTTGAACTTGGGAGGCAGAGGATGCAGTGAGCTGAGATCACACCACTGCACTCCAGCCTGGGTGATGGAGCAAGACTCTGTCTCTAAAATAAAATTACAAATTAAAAAGAAGGCATTACAACTAACGCCACAGAAATACAAAGGATCATAAGACAGTGCTATGAAAAATTATATTCCAACAATTGGATAACCTAGAAGAAATGGATAAATTCCTAGAAACATACAACCTACCAAGACTGAATCATGGAAATATAGCAAATATGGACAAATCAATAATGAGCAAGGAAATTAAATCAGTAATAAAACCTCCCAACAATGAAAATACCAGAATAAGATGGCTTCAATAGTGAACTCTATCAAATATTTGGAGAATAATTAATGCCAACACTTCTCAAACTCTCCCAAAAAAACTGAAGAAGAGAGAACAGGTCCAAAGTCATTTTATGAGACCAGCAGTACCCTAATACCAAAGGCAGATATGGACACCATAGGAATAGAAAGTTACACACATATAACTCTGATGAACATAGATGCAAAAATCTTCAACCAAATACTAGCAAGCTAAATTCAACAGCACGTTTAAAAGATCATATACCACAATCAACTGGGATTTATCGTTGGGATGCAGTGATGCTTTAACATGGACAAATCAATAAATGCAATACACCAAATTAACAGAATAAAGTATATAATTATATCATCTCAATAGATGCAGAAAAAGCATTTGACAAAATCCAACTTCTTTCATGATTAAAATTCAACAAATTTGGTATAAAAGCACTGTATCTCAACATAATAAAGGTCATCTATGACAAGCCCACAGCTAGCATTATACTCAATGGTGAAAAGTTGAGTGCTTTTTCTCTAAGACCAGAAGAAAGACAGATACCCACTCTCAACATTTCTGTTCATCAAAGTACTGAAAAGTCTAGCCAGAGCAATTAGACAAATAAAAGAAACGGAAGACATAAAGGGAGTGATATTACCAAGATGGCAGAATAGAATAGAAGCAATCTGTCTTCACTTACCTCCAAAGAAAGCAAAACAAACAAACAAAAACAAAAACAAACAAACAAAAACAAACAAATAATATCTAGCATCAAGATTTCAACCAGAAATATCTATAACTAAAATCTGATGCTGGGATTTCCCCAGGAACACAGAGAAGTAAAAAGAACTTCAAGTGGACACTAAGAGGAACGGACTGTCCCCAAATCTGCTGGGCACTGTGCATAGACAATTCCCCCTGGACTCACAGTTTCTACACTAGAAAACGTTAGACTGAAGCAGACAGTCAGCTTCCACACTATCTTGTACTCTCACAGGAAAAATGTTTCTGTCTCAACCCACAAAAATATTGTAAGGCCAATAGGGATGAAAAATTTTGAGGGAAGCTAGAGACAAAGAAGGGAGATGTGACTAGCAACCCCAACCTGGAAAATTTTGCTCTTTATCCGAACCAAAAGGGATGCCAAATAAGAGTGGCTTTCAGCAGCACCATGCTGGAGGAGGCATGCATCATGGGTACTTTGAGCAACAACTTCTAGCCAGCCTTCCCACACAACCAGGGTATTTCCTTTGGAAACCCCTTTATCTTGGATGACCAGTGCTCCAAACGTGACCAAGAATTGAGGCAATCCTGGGCTTAAGGTGCTATCTAGTGCCGAAAAGGAGGCAATGATCTAGGATTAAGGGTGCTCAACAGGCAAACTTCAAAGAACTTCTAAACAAACACACCATAGAAATACCAAAGCAAGCCAGCCAGCAAAGACTGGAATAAATCACTAATCTTTCATAGACAAAAGTCTAGAAAAAATAAAAGCAAACATAAAATCATAGCTTTCCCAAATGGACAAAGCAAGGAACCAGTGATTGACCCTAGTGAGATGGCAATGTGTGAGCTTTTATTTATTTATTTATTTATTTTTTAAAATTTTATTATTATTATACTTTAAGTTTTAGGGCACATGTGCACAACGTGCAGGTTTGTTACATATGTATACATGTGCCATGTTGGTGTGCTGCACCCATTAACTTTTCATTTAGCATTAGGTATATCTCCTAATGCTATCCCTCCCCCCTCCCACACCCCACAACAGGCCCTGGCGTGTGATGTTCCCCTTCCTGTGTCCATGTGTTCTCATTGTTCAATTCCCACCTATGAGTGACAACATGCGGTGTTTGGTTTTTTGTCCTTGCAATAGTTTGCTGAGAATGATGGTTTCCAGCTTCATCCATGTCCCTACAAAGGACATGAACTCATCATTTTTTATGGCTGCATAGTATTCCATGGTGTATATGTGCCACATTTTCTTAATCCAGTCTATAATTGCTGGACATTTGGGTAGGTTCCAAGTCTTTGCTATTGTGAATAGTGCCGCAATAAACATACGTGTGCATGTGTCTTTAGAGCAGCATGATTTATAGTCCTTTGGGTATATACCCAGTAATGGGATGGCTGGGTCAAATGGTATTTCTAGTTCTAGATCCCTGAAAAATTGCCACAGTGACTTCCACAATGGTTGAACTAGCTTAGAGTCCCAACAAAAGTGTAAAAGTGTTCCTGTTTCTCCACATCCTCTCCAGTACCTGTTGTTTCCTGACTTTTTAATGATCACCATTCTAACTGGTGTGAGATGGTATCTCATTGTGGTTTTGATTTGCATTTCTCTGATGGCCAGTGATGATGAGCATTTTTTCATGTGTCTGTTGGCTGCATAAATGTCTTCTTTTGACAAGTGTCTGTTCATATCCTTCACCCACTTGTTGATGGGGTTGTTTGTTTTTTTCTTGTAAATTTGTTTGAGTTCATTTTAGATTCTGGATATTAGCCCTTTGTCAGATGAGTAGGTTGCAAAAATTGTCTCCCATTCTGTAGGTTGCCTGTTCACTCTGATGGTAGTTTCTTTTGCTGTGCAGAAGCTCTTTAGTTTAATTAGATCCCATTTGTCAATTTTGGCTTTTGTTGCCATTGCTTTTGGTGTTTTAGACATGAAGTCCTTGCCCATGCCTATGTCCTGAATGGTATTGCCTAGGTTTTCTTCTAGGGCTTTTATGGTTTTAGGTCTAACATTTAAGTCTTTAATCCATCTTGAATTAATTTTTGTATAAGATGTAAGGAAGGGATCCAGTTTCAGCTTTCTACATCTGGCTAGCCAGTTTTCCCAGCACCATTTATTAAATAGGGAATCATTTCCCCATTGCTTGTTTTTCTCAGGTTTGTCAAAGATCGGAGAGTTGTAGATATGCGGCATTATTTCTGAGGGCTCTGTTCTGTTCCATTGGTCTATATCTCTGTTTTGGTACCAGTATCATGCTGTTTTGGTTACTGCAGCCTTGTAGTATAGTTTGAAGTCAGGTAGCGTGATGCCTCCAGCTTTGTTCTTTTGGCTTAGGATTGACTTGGCAATGAGGGCTCTTTTTTGGTTCCATATGAACTTTAAAGTAGTTTTTTTCCAATTCTGTGAAGAAAGTCGTGGGTAGCTTGATGGGGGTGGCATTGAATCTATAAATTACCTTGGGCAGTATGGCCATTTTCACAATATTGATTCTTCCTACCCATGAGCATGGAATGTTCTTCCATTTGTTTGTATCCTCTTTTATTTCATTGAGCAGTGGTTTATAGTTCTCCTTGAAGAGGTCCTTCACATCCCTTGTAAGTTGGATTCCTAGGTATTTTATTCTCTTTGAAGCAATTGTGAATGGGAGTTCACTCATGATTTGGCTCTCTGTCTGTTATTGGTGTATAAGAATGCTTGTGATTTTTGCACATTGATTTTGTATCTTGAGACCTTGCTGAAGTTGCTTATCAGCTTAAGGAGATTTTGGGCTGAGACAATGGGGTTTTCTAGATATACAATCATGTCATCTGCAAACAAGGACAATTTGACTTCCTCTTTTCCTAATTGAATGCCCTTTATTTCCTTCTCCTGCCTGATTGCCCTGGCCAGAACTTCCAACACTATGTTGAATAGGAGTGGTGAGAGAGGGCATCCCTATCTTGTGCCAGTTTTCAAAGGGAATGCTTCCAGTTTTTGTCCATTCAGTATGATATTGGCTGTGGGTTTGTCATAGATAGCTCTTATTATTTTGAGATGCGTCCCATCAGTACCTAATTTATTGAGTTTTTAGCATGAAGACTTGTTGAATTTTGTCAAAGGCCTTTTCTGCATCTATTGAGATAACCATGTGGTTTTTGTCTTTGGTTCTGTTTATATGCTGGATTACGTTTATTGATTTGCGTATGTTGAACCAGCCTTGCATCCCAGGGATGAAGCCAACTTGATCTGTCTAATGTTGACAGTGGGGTGTTAAAATCTCCCTATATTAATGTGTGGGAGTCTAAGTCTCTTTGTAGGTCACTCAGGACTTGCTTTATGAATCTGGGTGCCCCTGTATTGGGTGCATATATATTTAGGATAGTTAGCTCTTGTTGAATTGATCCCTTTACCATTAAGTAATGGCCTTCTTTGTCTCTTTTGATCTTTGTTGGTTTAAAGTCTTGTTTTATCAGAGACTAGGATTGCAACCCCTGCCTTTTTTTGTTTTCCATTTGCTTGGTAGATCTTCCTCCATCCCTTTATTTTGAGCCTATGTGTGTCTCTGCACGTGAGATGGGTTTCCTGAATATAGCACACTGATGGGTCTCGACTCTATCCAATTTGCAAGTCTGTCCCTTTTAATTGGGAGCATTTAGCCCATTTACATTTAAGGTTAATATTGTTATGTGTGAATTTGATCCTGTCATTATGATGTTAGCTGGTTATTTTGCTCGTTAGTTGATGCAGTTTCTTCCTAGCCTTGATGGTCTTTACATTTTGGCATGTTTTTGCAGTGGCTGGTACTGGTAGTTCCTTTCCATGTTTAGTGCTTCCTTCAGGAGCTCTTTTAGGGCAGTCCTGGTGGTGACAAATTCTCTCAGCATTTGCTTGTCTGTAAAGGATTTTATTTCTCCTTCACTTATGAAGCTTAGCTTGGCTGGATATGAAATTCTGGGTTGAAAATTCTTTTCTTTAAGAATGTTGAGCTCTCCCTCTCCCTCTCCCCCCTCTCCTTCTCCCTCTACCCCTCTCTTTCCTTTCTACGGTCTCCCTCTCCCTCGTCTCCCCTTTCCACAGTTTCCCTCTGATGCCAAGCCAAGGCTGGACTGTACTGCCGCCATCTCGGCTCACTGCAACCTCCCTGCCTGATTCTCCTGCCTCAGCCTGCTGAGTTCCTGGGATTGTAGGCGCGCACTGCCACGTCTGACTGGTTTTCGTATTTTTTTGGTGGAGATGGGGTTTTGCCCTGTTGGCCGGGCTGGTCTCCAGCTCCTGACCCCGAGTGATCTGCCAGCCTCGGCCTCCCAAGGTGCTGGGATTGCAGACGGAGTCTCGCTCACTCAGTGCTCAATGTTGCCCAGGCCGCAGTGCAGTGGCGTGATCTCGGCTCGCTACAACCTCCACCTCCCAGCTGCCTGCCTTGGCCTCCCAAAGTGCCGACATTGCAGCCTCTGCCCGGCCGCCACCCCGTCTGGGAAGTGAGGAGCGTCTCTGCCTGGCCGCCCATCATCTGGGATGTGAGGAGCCCCTCTGCCCGGCCACCCAGTCTGGGAAGTGAGGAGCGCCTCTTCCCGGCCGCCATCCCATCTAGGAAGTGAGGAGCGTCTCTGCCCGGCCACCCATCGTCTGAGATGTGGGGAGCGCCTCTGCGCCGCCGCCCCATCTGGGATGTGAGGAGCGCCTCTGCCCGGCTGCAACCCCGTCTGGGAACTGAGGAGTGTCTCTACCCGACCGCCACCCCGTCTGGGAGGTGAGGAGCGTCTCTGCCCGGCCGCCCCATCTGAGAAGTGAGGAGCCCCTCTGCCCGGCAGCTGCCCCATCTGGGAAGTGAGGAGCATCTCCGCCCGGCAGCCGCCCCGTCCGGGAGGTGGGGGGCAGTCCCCGCCCGGCCAGCCGCCCTGTCCGGGATGGAGGTGGGGGGCAGCCCCCGCCCGGCCAGCCACCCCATCTGGGAGGGGGTGGGGGGCATCCCCCGCCCAGCCAGCCGCCCCGTCCGGGAGGGAGGTGGACGGCAGCGCCCACCCCGCCAGCCGCCCCGTCTGGGAGGTGGGGGGCGCCTCTGCCTGGCCGCCCCATCTGGGAAGTGAGGAGCCCCTCTGCCCGGCCGCCACCCCGTCTGGGAAGTGTACTCAACAGCTCATTGAGAATGGGCCATGATGACGATGGCAGTTTTGTCGAATAGAAAAGGGGGAAATGTGGGGAAAAGAAAGAGAGATCGGATTGTTACTGTGTCTGTGTGGAAAGAAGTAGACATGGGGGACTCCATTTTGTTCTGTACTAAGAAAAATTCTTCTGCCTTGGGATGCTGTTAATCTATAACCTTACCGCCAACCCCGTGCTCTCTGAAACATGTGCTATGTCCACTCAGGGTTAAATGGATTAAGGGCGGTGCAAGATGTGCTTTGTTAAACAGATGCTTGAAGGCAGCATGCTCGTTAAGAGTCATCACCACTCCCTAATCTCAAGTACCCAGGGACACAAACACAGCGGAAGGCTGCAGGGTCCTCTGCCTAGGAAAAACAGAGACCCTTGTTCACATGTTTATCTGCCGACCTTCCCTCCACTATTGTCCTATGACCCTGCCAAATTCCCGAGAGACACCCAAGAATGATCAATAAATAGTATAAAAAATAAATAAATAAATAAATAAATAAAAGAATGTTGAATATTGGCCCCCACACTCTTCTGGCTTGTAGAGTTTCTGCCGACAGATCAGCTGTTAGTCTGATGGGCTTCCCTTTGTGGGTAACCCGACCTTTCTCTCTGGCTGCCCTTAACATTTTTTCCTTCATTTCAACTTTGATGAATCTGATAATTATGTGTCTTGGAGTTGCTCTTCTCGAGGAGTATCTTTGTGGTGTTCTCTGTATTTCCTGAGTTTGAATGTTGGCCTGCCTTGCTAGATTGGGGAAGTTCTCCTGGATAATATCCTGCAGAGTGTTTTCCAACTTGGTTCCATTCTCCCCATCACGTTCAGGTACACCAATCAGACGTAGATTTGGTCTTTTCACATAGTCCCATATTTCTTGGAGGCTTTGTTCGTTTCTTTTTAGTCTTTTTTCTCTAAACTTCTCGCTTCATTTCATTCATTTCATCTTCCATTGCTGATACCCTTTCTTCCAGTTGATTGCCTCAGCTACTGAGGCTTGTGCATTCGTCACGTAGTTCTCGTGCCATGGCTTTCAGCTCCATCAGGTCCTTTAAGGACTTCTCTGCATTGGTTATTCTAGTTATCCATTCATCTAATTTTTTTTCAAGGTTTTTAACTTCTTTGCCATTGGTTCAAACTTCCTCCTTTACCTCAGAGTAGTTTGATCTTCTGAAGCCTTCTTCTCTCAACTCATCAAAGTCATTCTCCGTCCAGCTTTGTTCCATTGCTGGTGAGGAGCTGCGTTCCTTTGGAGGAGGAGAGGCACTCTGATTTTCAGAGTTTCCGGTTTTTCTGCTCTGTTTTTTCCACATCTTTGTGGTTTTATCTACCTTTGGTCTTTTATGATGGTGATGTACAGATGCGTTTTTGGTGTGTATGTCCTTTCTGTTTGTTAGTTTTCCTTCTAACAGTCAGGACCCTCAGCTGCAGGCCTGTTGGAGTTTGCTGGAGGTCCACTCCAGACCCTGTTTGCCTGGGTATCAGCAGTGGTGGCTGCAGAACAGCAGATATTGGTGAACCGCAAATGCTGCTGCCTGATCATTCCTCTGGAAGTTTTGTCTCAGAGGAGTACCCGGCCGTGTGAGGTGTCAGTCCACCCCTACTGGGGGGTGTCTCCCAGTTAGGCTACTTGGGGGTCAGGGACCCACTTGAGGAGGCAGTCTGCCCATTCTCAGATCTCAAGCTGCATGCTGGGAGAACCACTACTCCCTTCAAAGCTGTCAGACAGGGACATTTAAGTCTGCAGAGGTTACTGCTGCCTTTTGTTTGTCTGTGCCCTGCCCCCAGAGGTGGAGCCTACAGAGGCAGGCAGGCCTCTTGAGCTGTGGTGGGCTCCACCCAGCTTGAGCTTCCTGGCCATTTGTTTACCTACTCAAGCCTTGGCAATGGCGGGCACCCCTCCCCCAGCCTCACTGCCACCTTGCAGTTTGATCTCAGACTGCTGTGCTAGCAATGAGCGAGGCTCCATGGGCATAGGACCCTCCAAGCCATGTGTGGGATATAATCTCCTGGTGTGCCATTTGTTAAGCCTGTTGGAAAAGTGCAGTATTAGGGTGGGAGTGACCCGATTTTCCAGGTGCCGTCTGTCACCGCTTTTTTTGACTAGGAAAGGGAATTCCCTGACCCCTTGCGTTTTCCGGGTGAGGCGATGACTCGCTCTGCTTTGGCTCACGCATGCTTTGGCCCACTGTCCTGCACCCCCTGTCCGGCACTCCCCAGTGAGATGAACCCGGTACCTCAGTTGGAAATGCAGAAATCACCCGTCTTCTGTGTCGCTCACACTGGGAGCTGTTCCTATTCGGCCATCTTGGCTCCACCCCCCCGTGTGAGCTTTTAGATGAACAATTCAAAACAGCACATCTAAGGAAACTCAACAAACTCAAAGATAAACCAGTAAGTAATTCAAATGCCCATCAATGATAGACTGGATACAGAAAATGTGGCACATATACACCACGGAATACCATGCAGCCATAAAAAAGGATGAGTTCATGTACTTTGCACGGACATGGATGAAGCTGGAAACCATCATTCTTGGCAAAACAACACAGGAACAGAAAACCGAACACTGCACGTTCTCATTCATAAATGGGAGTTGAACAATGAGAACACATGGACACAGGGAGGGGAACATCACACACTGCAGCCTGTCGGGGGGTTTGGAGCTAGGGGGTGGGATAGCATTAAGAGAAATACCTAATGTAGATGACAGGTTGATGGGTGCAGCAAACCACCATGATACCTACGTAACAAACCTGCATGTTCTGCACATGTATCCCAGAACTTAACATACAATTTTAAAAAGAAAAGAAAAGAATGGTAACCTGCAAAAGAAAACACTCAAAGACAAAAAATTCACTGGAAAATGTAAATACTAGATGTAGATTGAGACAATAAAAAGCCAAAATGTGATAAGGATGAAGTTAGAGTACAGAGTTGTTTTTAGTTTTCCTTTGTTTGCTTCTTTCTATTCTTTTGTCTGTAATTAAAATTAAGTTCTCATCTGTTTAAAATAACTTGCTACATCCATAAGACATTTTTTAAGTACTATGGTAACCACAAAGCAGAAACTTGCTATAGATACGCTAAAAAATAAAAAGGAAAAAATTAAAACATACCATCAGGTAAAATAACTTTTCCTGAAAGGGAAACAGTAAGAAAGAGAGAGTTACAATACAACCGGAAAACAAGGAACAAGCTGGTATTAGTAGGACTTTACATATCAAAAATAACTTTGAATGTAAATGGACTAAATTCTCCAATAAAAGACAGAGTGGACAAACAGCTAGAGAAACAAGACTCAATGATATGCTGCTTATAGGAAACTCACTTCACCTAAAAAGACACATAAAGACTGAAAATGAAGCGATGGAAACAGATATTCCATGCATATGGAAACCAAAAAGGAACATGAGTAGCTGTACTTAGATAAAAGAGACTTCAAGTCAAAAACTATAAATAGAAACGAAGGTTAAATGATAAATAAATCAATTCAACAAGAGGACATATGAATTGTAAATATATATACAGCTAACACTGGAGCACCCAATTATATAAAACAAACAATAAATTTAAAGGGAGAAATACAACAAAATAATAATAGGAGACATTAACAGCCCAATCTCAGTAACAGACAGTTCATCCAGTGGGTAAATAAACAAAGAAATGTCAAAGTTAGCATTCTCTTGAAACAAATGAAAATGGAAACACAACATAGCAAAATCTATGGAATACAGCAAAAGCAGTAGTACTAAAAGGGAAGTTTAGAGCAATAAATGCCTACATCAAAAGAGTGAAGAGATTTCAAAGAAAAAACCTAACAATGCACCTAAAGAACTAGAAAAGCAAGAATAAACTAAACTCAAAATTAGTAGAAGACATGATAAAGATCAGAGCAGAAATAAATTAAATTGATACTAAAACAAAAAAGTAATGAAACTAAAAGTAGGCTTTTTGAAAAAATAAACACAATTGACAAACATTCAGAAGGGCTAACCAGAACTTTACTGTTCTAAGAATACCTCAAACTGGGACTTGTATGTTCCTTACATTATTTGGTCACCGAAAAGAGGTAGGCAGAGCTAATGATATTAACTCCATTATGCTGACAAGGAAACCATGGTTTAGAGGAATCAAGGGGCCTTTAAAAGAAATCACAGATTTTTTTTTCCAAGATGGCAGATTAGAGGCTTTTAGCATAATTTAGCCACTTGGAAATAGCAAAATAGTGCATAAAGATAAACCCTGTGAGCTTTAATTCAAGAAGGAAAATAGGAATCTACTAGAATTGTGAAGGACACACAAGACCCAAGAGAGGAGAACATGGGCAAACAGCCTCCATGATGGTGTCCAGCTGATAAAAGTGAGTGAAGCCCGAGTATGTGAAAGAGGAAGAGAGCTGCCCTCTGTGACTCGCCTTTCCACTGGGGACCTGAGCAACCCAGGCCTACTGAGCATACTGTTTCTCCCAAGCCCTGGTGCTAACTTGGAGACAGGCTTGGAAATATTGTGAGGGAAAGACACCAGGAAAAGCTGCCGACATTTTCTTAGACCCTGTACTAAGAACAGGATGCCATTTTTAATCTGGGTACATACAAAGTCATCCATTCTTTGGTGATGCAGCTGCATGGTCATGCAGGCCTTTTAGTCTCAGGCCAGAGATTGGAACACCTGCTCTGGAGTGGGGTACAGGCCTCCAAAGCCAGAACTGAGGAAAGTGCCTCAGCAGTAGGCACTGGAATGGTGCTCTCCCCCGTAGCAGCCTTAGGAGAGGAGGAGAGCGGCTACAGCTGTGGTTTCTCCTGGGCAACAAGACTTGCAGCTAGGCCCAGGTTGGCAACCTGGAACTGGTCTGCATGTGTTACTGCTGGGTGCCCCAGCCTACTCCTCTGAGATTATGGTACAACAGGACCCTCTCTGCCCCACCCTCAGGAAGAAATCAAGGTATTTGGAGCAGCAGCCTGAGCTGTCCCACCCTTCATGGACATAGACATAGATCATGGTGCAGTAGGGCCCTCTAAGCTCCATACACAGGTAGATCTCCAAGTATTTGGAGAATCTCCTTGTCTGGATCAGTAGCTTCAGCTGCCACACTCTTCTTGTGCATAGATTGTGGCATAGTGGAATCCTCTAAGCTCCACACATAGGCAGATCTCCAGGCATTTGGAGCACCTGCTCACCTGGACTAGCAGCCTGAGTTGCTCCACACTTCCTATGCAGAGATCATAGTATGGGGGGCTCTCTCCAATTCATGCCCAGGCAGATCTCCAGGCATTTGGAGCACATGTTCACCTGGTTCAGCAGCCTGAGCCACCCTATTCTTCCTGGGCATAAATCATGGTGAAGTAAGACTCTCTCCATTCCACACACAAGAAGATCTCTAGGCATTCAGAGCACCTGCTCACATGGATCAGCAACCTGACCCACTCCATACTTTCTGTGCAGAGATCCTGGTGCAGGGACGCCCCCTCTGCTCCACGCCAAGGTATATCTCCAGGCATTCAAGGATCTTCTTGTCCAGATTGGTAGCCTGAGTTGCCCCACCCTTTCTGTGCAGAGATCCATGTGCAGGGAGGCCCTCTCTGCTTCATACCCAGGCACATCTCCAGGCATTCAAAAGTATCTGCTTGCCTGGTTCAGCAGCCTGAGTCACTCCACCCCTGCTGTGCAGAGATCTTGGTGGAGCGGAGGCCTCTCTGCTCCACCCTGAGGCAGATCTCCAGGAATCTGAAGTACCCACACTTCTGGATTAAGAATTTCGGTCAGCACCCATCCTCATCCAGAGAACTTGGGTCTGAGGTTTCCCAGCTCCACACCCAGGCACAGCTCTAAGTGCTTGTTGGCCACCCACTAGATTCTCCCTCAGTACTGGTGCTTCTGCCTGCCATTAGGAGAACTTTGGGCAGACCTGCCCAGTCAAGCCCCACCTATATTGGCCCCCATCCCCCTGGGGCTGAGCAGAGAACTTAGACCACTGAGCACTCCATGAATCAGCCCATTGCCTGAGGGAACAGAGAACTTCTTTCAGTAAATAAGGATGAAGTATATACTCATCCATGTTGACCACAGCTGGCTCTTGCCCGTAAGCAGCATGTTCTGGCTTGTAGGTTAAACTGTACAGCCCAATATAGAACCTGATGGCAGAGTGCATAAGGCTATAGAAGAAAAGCCAAAAGACCTTACCCAGCATTTTCTACAGTCACACCCCCTAGGGAGGGAGAAAAAGAGAAAGGAAAAGAATAAAAAATATCAGAGGGTAAAAAAGAAAAAAAATCCTACCTGAACAAAAAATAATTATAAAAATTAGAGGTTCAAGCGTCTCTGGGTGAGAAAGAACCAGTGTAAAATTGCTGGCACCAGAGATCTGGTTGGCACCCTGACCTCCATGAGGGAGATTCAGCTCTATAAGTAAACACTCCGCAAGGCACAAGCATGGCCTCTTTCTATTTTTGAGGCGGTGGCTGCAGCAGCGACTCGGAGTGGTTCCGGTTATCTCTCAGCTTGGCGGCCTGGCAAGCGGGATGAGAGCTGCCACCGCCTGTCGGGCCCGGCGTCAGTCCGGGTCGGTACAGTGCGTGCGCTCGCCCGCCTGCCGCGGAGGGCCGTAGCCGCAGGGGAAGCGGCGTGGACCGGGCGGGGCGCGGCGCCTCGAGCGCAGCGGGAGACAAATGGGACCGGCTCCTCTCCCAACGCCAAGATGTGGATCCAGGTTCCCATCACGGCTCCAAGACGTGCACCACAGAGGACGTGTCTCACAAAGCCACGATTGAGGAGCTGCGGAGCAGATGTGGGTGCTGTTCGACGTGCGGCCCGAGTGCCAGCACCTCTTCTACCGGGGCAAGCAGTTTGAAAATGGATATGCCTTATTTGACTAGGATGTTGGACTGAATGATATAATTCAGCTGCTAGTTTGCCCAGACCCTAATCATCTTCCTGGAACATCTACACAGATTGAGGCTAAACCCTGTTCTGATAGTCCACCTAAAGCAAAGAAAGCTCCAAGGGTGGGACCTTCCAGTCAGCCACCTACATCAGCTCGTGCCCATCTTACTGATCCTAGCTTTGGACTATATAAGGTAAATGAATTGGTGGATGCCAGAGATGTTGGCCTTGGTGCTTGGTTTCAAGCACACATACCTAGTGTTGCTAGAGCTTCTGATGGACAGTCACGTGGCAAAACTCCACTGAAGAATGGCAGTTCTTGTAAAAGGACTAATGGAAATATACATCATAAATCAAAGAGAACATAAATAAATTGGACAATGTACTCTCTACATCTAATTCAGACTCTGTCGCTGCCGATGAAGACGTTATTTACCATATCCAGTATGATGAATACCCAGAAAGTGGTACTCTAGAAATGAATGGCAAGAACCTTAGACCATGAGCTAGAACCATTTTGAAATGAAAGGAACTAAATGTTGGTGATGTGGTAATGGTTAATTATAATGTAGAAAGTCCTAGACAAAGAGGATTCTGTTTGATGCAGAAATTACCACATTGAAGGCAATCTCCAGGACCAAAAATGAACTTCGTGTGAAAATTTTCCTGGGTGTGGGGGGGTTCTGAAGGGGCATTAAATGAGTGCAAAATAATATCTGTAGATGAAATCTTCAAGACTGAGAAACCTGGAGCCTATCCTCTTTCGTTTGCAGATGTAAAGTTTTTAAGGAGAAATAACTCTGAATATGACCTGTGTGGTGGAGACCCAGATAAGAAATGCCATTCTTGCTTCTTTCATGTATATGGTGGGAAACATGAACCCAACATGCAGCTTCTATGTGATGAATGTAATGCGGCTTATCATATTTACTGCTTGAATACACCTTTGGATAAAGTCCCAGAAGAGGAATACTGGTATTGTTCTTCCTGTAAAACTGATTCCAGTTAAGTTGTAAAGGCTGGTGAAAGACTCGAGATGAGTGAAAAGAAAGCAAAGATGCCATCCGCTAGTACTGAAAGCCAGAGAGACTGGTGCAGGAGAATGGCTTGTGTTGGTCATATGACAGAATGCACTATTGTCTCTTCTAATCATTATGGACCTATTCCTGTTGGATCAACTTGGAGATTTAGAGTTCAGGTGAGTGAAGTAGGTGTTCACAGACCCCATGTTGGTGGACTTCATGGTCGAAGTAATGATGGAGTTTATTCTCTTGTCTTGGTTGGTGGATTTGTGGATAAAGTTGACCGAGGTGATGAGTTCTTGTACACTGGAAGTGGTGGTAAAAAGCTTGCTGGTAATAAAAGAATTGGCACACCTTCAGCTGATCAAACATTAACAAACACAAACAGGGCATTGGCCCTAAACTGTGATGCTACATTGGGTGATAAAATTGGAGCAGAGTCTTGGAATTGGAGAGCTGGTAAGCCAGTCAGAGTGATATGCAGTTTTAAAGGGAGGAAGATCAGCAAATATGCTCCTGAAGAAGGCAACAGATATGATGGCATTTATAAGGTAGTGAAATACTGGCCAGAGATTTCATCAAGCCATGGACTCTTGATTTGGCGCTATCTTTTAAGAAGAGATGATGTTGAACCTGCTCCTTGGACCTCTGAAGGAATAGAATGGTCAAGGAGATTATGTCTACATTTACAGTATCCAGCAGGTTACCCTTCAGATAAAGAAAGGAAGAAGACTAAAGGACAGTCAAAGAAGCAGGCCAGTGGAACCACAAAAAGGCCGATTTCAAATGTCTAAGTGCCTCCAAAGTATACAAAGCATCAGATTCAGCAGGAGCAATTGAGGCTTTTCAACTAACTCCTCAACAGCAACATCTCATCAGAGAAGACTGTCAAAACCAGAAGCTGTGGGATGAAGTGCTTGCATATCTTGTGGAAGGACCAAATTTTCTGAAAAAATTGGAACAATCTTTTATGTGTGTTTGCTGCCAGAAGCTAGTTTACCAGCCTGTGACAACTGAGTGCTTCCAGAATGTCTGTAAAAATTGCCAACAGTGCTCCTTTAAGGCATAGGTTTTCTCCTGCCCTGCTTGCTGGCATGATCTTGGCCAGAATTATGTCATAATTCCCCATGAGATTCTGCAGACTCTACTAGACCTTTTCTTCCCTGGCTACAGCAAAGGATGATGATCTGTCTGCTTTCACTGGGTTGTTCATGGTGGGTTTTTGGACAATAAAGAATCTAAAATGGGTGGGGAGGGTGGAATGGTGTACAGTATCTCTCATGTTCTGAAGCAGCTAATTCTCTTTCCCACATAGCCATCATCTTTGTGTGTAGTAAGAGGCCCATTTCTCAACTGTCTTTTAAATATCTAAAGGTAGTTCCTGTAACAACTAGTTTTAATGAGTAAAAAGTCAAAGCCCCAGCTCTAGATGATATCCAAGTTATGATTTATTTTGCAACTACCTCAGGACAGAAAAGATTCATGGAGATTTAAAAAATCATTGAATAACCAGTTAAATGAAATTTTAGCTACACACTGCCTCCCAAATATTAATTGTGCCTGGTTCATGTAATTTGATTTTACAGAAAAGGAAATGACACTTGAGATCCTTGGAATGAACACAGCTTCTATAGTGTGCATATACTCTTTTAACATCTCTTCTTCCATTACAATGTGTGTGTTGCAAGGACAGGTTCATTTTTTTGACCACTTTGTGAACTCCACTGTGCTTTTTTCTGGTGTTTTATGCAAGTTGACTACTAATGGCTAATGAGAACAATAATGAATGTATTGTTGCTGCATTAGTGTAATGTGGTATGTTTTTGCACTTGAAAGGTATTCATATGCTCTAGTTGTAAATGTTCATGAAAATCCACTTCTGTACTAGTCGAACTGCTTTTAATGTCTCCACAGCGGTTTTACATCTGCAGAGTTTTGACCTTTGAGAGGATTTGAAATTGCTTTATATTGTGATCCTAAATTTTATACTTACTATATTCCCTAAAGTATACCTTAGTAAATATTTTATGAGCAGAAAAAAAATGCTGGCACCATCAAAAATCTGAATGTAGTGATGCAACCAAAGAACTTCACTAGCTCTTCAGCAATGGTCCCTACCAAAATGGACACTCAGAAATGACAGATAAAGAATTCAAAGTATGGATTGCAAAGAAGCTCAATGAGATCTAAGACAAAGTTGAAAATCAACATAAAGAAACTTCTAAAGCAGTCCAGAAAAATGAAGGAAGAGATAAATACCTCATAAAAAAATCAATCTGATGCAAAGGCATAAGAATGATACAATGGACTTTGGGGACTTGTGGGGAAGGGTGGGAGAGGGGCAAGGGATAAAAGACTACAGATAGAGTGTGTTGTATACTGCTTGGGAGATGAGTGCACCAAAATCTCACAAAGCACCATTAAAGAATTTACACATGTAACCAAATACCATCCGTACCCCAGTAACCTATAGAGAAACTAAAAAAAATCTCAAATCAACTATCTAACATCAAAACTTTAGCTAAACTGAAACTCTAGTTTTGATAAACTAACCTCTAGTTTCCAGAGGAACTAAAAAAACAAGAACAAACTACCTCCAAAGCTAGCAGAAGAAAAGAAATAACTAAAATCAGAGCAGAATTGAAGGAAATTGAGACCCAAAAATTCATACAAAAGATCAACAAAACCAAAAGTTTCTTCTTTAAAAGGATAAACACCATTAGCTAGACTAACAAAGGAAAAAGAGAGAAGATTCAAATAAGCACAATCAGAAATGACAAGGCTGGCATTATAACCTACCCCCCAGAAATATAAAAGATACTCAGAAACTATGAACACCTCTATGCACACAACCTAGAAAACCTAGAGGAAATAAATAAATTCCTGAAGACACAAAATCTCCCAAGACTGAATCAGGAAGAAATTGAAATCCTGAACAGACCAATATCAAGTTCTCAAATTGAATCAGTAATTAAAAAAACCTACTAACCAAAAAAAGCCCTGAACCAGATGGACTCACAGCCAAATTCCACCAGACACACAGAGAAGAGCTGGTACCAATTCTACTGAAACTATTCCAAAATACAGAATAGGAAGGACTCTTCCCTAACTAATTCTCTGAAGGGCAGCATTACCCTGAAACCAAAATCTGGCAAAGACACAATGAAAAAAAGAAAACTACAGGCCAATATCCCTGGATGAATATAAACATAGAAATACTTAGCAAAATGCTTGCAAACCAAATCCAACAGCATGGCAAAAAGCTAATTCATTATGATCAAATAGAATTCATTCATTGGATGAAAGATTGGTTTGAGATATGCAAATCAATAAACATGATATTCACATCAATAGAATTACAGACAAAAACACATGATCATCTAAATAGAAACAGAAAAAGCATTTGATAATATTCTACATCCCTTCCTGATAAAAACATGCAGCAAACTAGGCATGGAAGAAACATACCTCAACATAATAAAGGCATATATGACAAGTCCACAGCTATCATTATACCAAATGGGGAAAAGCTGAAAGTCTTTTTTCTATAAACTGGAATTAGATAAGGATGCGCACTTTCAGCACTCCTATTCAAAATAGTCCTGGAAGTCCTAGCCAAAGTAATCAGGCAAGAGAAAGAAATAAAAGTCATACAAATTGGAAAAGAGGAAGTCAAATTGTCCATCTTTGCAGATTACATGATCTTATATTTATACAAATTTAAAGACTCCACCAAAAACTCTTAGATGTGATAATAAGTATAGTAACATTTCTAGATACAAAATCCACCTACATAAGTCAGTAGCATTTTGACACACCAATAACAATCTAGTTGAAAAAAAAATCAAGAAAACGACTTGCAATAGATGAAAAAAAATACTTAGGAATAAATTTAACCAAGAAGATGAATGACCTCTACAAGACAAACTAAAAAACACTGGTAAAAGAAATTAAACAGGATACAAATGGAAAGATATCCTATGCTCATGAATCAAAAAGTAATTATAGATTCAATGCAATCCCTATCAAAATACCAGTGACATTTTTTCACAGAAATAGAGAAAAAGAATTCTAAAATTTGTATGAAACCAAAAAAGATCTCAAATGGCCAAAGTGATCCTGAATTAAAAGAACAAAGCTGGAGGCATCATGCTACCGGACTTAAAATATATTACAAGGCTATATTAACCAAAACAGCATGGTATTGGTATAAAAACAAACACAACTACCAATGAAACAAAAAAGAGAACCCAGAAATAAACTCATATATTTACAGCCAACTGATTTTTGTCAAAGGTGTCAAGAACATACATTGGGTAAATAACACTCTCTTCAATAAATGATGCTGAAGAAACTAAATATCCACAGAAAAGAATGAAACTAAACTCCTCTCTCTCATCATATACAAAAATCAACTCAAAATGAATTAAAGACTTAAATGAAAGACCCCAAACTATAGAAATACTAGAAGAAAACCTAGAAGAAACACTTCAGATATTTGTCTAGGCAAAGATTTTATTACTAAGACCTCAAAAGCACAGGTAACAAAAATAAAAATAGACAAATGGGACTATATTAAACTAAAAAGCTTCAGCACAGCAAAGGAAACAATCAACAGAGTGAATAGACAACCTGTTGAATGGGAGAAAATATTTGCAAACTATTCATCTGACAAGGGGCTAACATTCAAAATACACAAGGAACCTAAATAACTCAACAGCAAACAAAAAACAAAACAAAACAAAACAAAAACAAATAATCCCATTAAGAAGTGGGCATAGGATTTTGACATTTCTTGAAAGAAGACATACAAATGGCCAACAGGTATATGAAAAAAATGCTCAACATCAATAATCATCAGGAACATGCAAATTAAAAGCATAAGAAGACATCATCTCACCTTAATTAGAATAGCTATTAGCAAGGCTGGGAGCAGTGGCTCATGTCTGTAATCTCAGCACTTTGGGAGGCCGAGGTGGGCGGATCACCTGAGGTCGGGACTTCGAGACCAGCCTGACCAACATGGAGAAACCCCGTCTCTACTAAAACTACAAAAAATTAGCCTGGCATGGTGGTGTATGCCTGTAATCCCAGCTACTCGGAAGGCTGAGGCAGGAGAATTGCTTGAACCTGGGAGGTGGAGGTTGTGGTGAGCCGAGATTGCACCATTGCACTTCAGTCTGGGTAACAAGAGTGAAACTCAGTCTCAAAAAAAAAAAAAATAGCTATTATCAGAAAGACAAAAATTAGCAATGCTGGCAAGGATGATGAGTAAAGGGAACTCTTATACACTGTTGGTAGGAGTGTAAATAGTACAGCCATTATGGAAAACAGTATGCAGACTTCTCAAAAAACTAAAAGTAAAACTTTTAGTTTTTTGCATATGATACAGCAATCCAAGTACTGGGTATTTATCCAAAGGAAAGGAAATCAGTATATCAAATAACTATTTGTACTTCCATGTTTATTGTGGCACTACTCACAATAGCCAATGTATGGAATCAACTTATGTATTCATCAATGGATGAATGGATAAAGAAAATGTGGTACATATACAGTGAAATATTATTCATCCCTCTAAAAGAATAAAATTATTATTTTCAGGAACTTGGAATAAGAGGTCATTATATTGAGTGAAATAAGCTAGGCACAGAAAGACAAATAGCATATGTTCTCATTCATATGTAGGAGCTAAAAAAAAAAAAAAGGATCTCATGGAGGTAGAGAGTTGACTGATGGCTTCCAGAGTCAGGCAAGCATAGGGGGAGGGAGCAGTGAAGAAAGGTTGGTTAATAAGTACAAAAATACAATTAAATAGAAGAAATAAGATACAGCATTCAATAGTACAGTAGGGTGACTCTAGTTAACAATTTATTGTATAGTTCAAAATAGCTAGAAAAGAAGAATTAGAATATTCTCAACTGTAAAAAAAGAGATAAATATTTGAGGCCATGGATATACCAATCACCCTGATTTAATCATTACACACTTTTGCATGTATCAAAATATCACATGTACCTCTCAAATACTACAACTATTATGTATCAATTAGAAAAAATATAGCCAAATAGGAAAGGAAAGTAAAATTGCTCTGTTTGAAGATGTCAGGTCTTATATATAAAAACACTATAAGACTCCACCAAAAACTTTCAGAATTAACAACAAATTTAATACAGATACAGGATACAAAATCAACATTCAAAAATTAGAATTGCCTATACACTAACAACAAACTATCAGAAAAATAAATAAAACAATCCCACTTAAAATAGCATCAAAATCAACATTAAAAGGCTAGGAATAAATTTAATCAAGAAGGCAAACAATTTGCATAATGAAAAGCATAAAACATTCATTAATGAAAGAAATGGAAGAAGTCACAAATAAATGGAAACATATCCCATGATCGTGGATCAGAAAAATTAATATTGTTAAAATGTCCATACTACCCAAAGCAACCTGCAGATTAAATGCAATCTCTATCAAAATCTGAGTGACATTTTTTACAGAAATAGAAAAAACAATCCTAAAATGTATATGGAATTATAAAGATCCCAAATAGCTAATGCATATTGAGAAAGAACAGCAAAGGTGGAGGCATTGCACTTACTGATTTTAAACTATTTTGCAAAGCTATAGAAATCCAAACAATGTAGCACAGGCATAAAAACAGATACCTACACCAATGCAACAGAACTGAAAGCCCAGAAATAGACTAACCATATCAACTAATATCTGAGTTAAGTTTAAGTTTCCAGGAATACACAATTAGAAAAGGACAGTCTCTTCAATAAATGGTTTAAGGACAGCTGGATATACACATGCAAAAATAAAATAAAACGGGATCCCTATTTTACACTCCTCACAAAAATTAACTTGGAATGTATTAAAGGCTTAAACATAAGACTTAAAACTATGAAACTACTGGAATCAAACATGGGGGGAACCTTCATGGCATTAATTTTGGCAATAATTTTTTGGATATGACACCAAAAGCACAAGCAACAAGAACACAAATAAATGAGAATACATCAAACTCTAAAAGATTCTGCACAGCAAGGGAAACATTCAAAAAAATGAAAAGACTACTGACAGAATAGAAGAGGATATTTTCAAACCTTATATCTAATAAGGGGTTAATATGCTTATAACATAAGTAACTCCTACAACTCAATGGCAAAAAAAAAATCAATAATCTGATTTTTAAATGGTCATATTACCTCAATAGACATTTTCTAAGGAAGACATACAAATGGCCAACAGGTATATGAAAAGGTGCTCAACAACCCTATTCATCAGGAAAATGCAAATCAAAACCATAATGAGCTATTGCCTCACACCTGTCAGGATGGTTTTTATTAAAAAGACAAGATATAACTATTTTTGGCAAAATCTGAATAAAATGGAATTCTTGTGCATGGTTGATTGGAACATAAACTGGCACAACCATTAAGGAAAACAGTACGGAGCTTCCTAAAAAAAATGAAAATAGAACCACCATATTATCCAGCAATCCCACTTCTGGGTATATATTTATTGGACAAAATCAGTAGCTCAAAGGGATATCTGCATTCCCATGTTTATTGCAGCATTATTCACAATAGCCAAGACAAGGAAACAACCTGTGTCTGTTGACAGTAATTGTTACAATTACTTATCCATTCATCTGTCAACAGACATTTAGATTGTTTCCATGTTTTGGCTATATATACAAAATGGGATATTAATCAGCCATAAACAAGAATGAAATCCTGCCATTTGTGACAACATGGATGAGTCTCGAGGGCATTATGCAAGGTGAGAGATGTCAGACAGGGAAAGACAAATGAGGTATGATCTCACTTATATTTGGAATCTAAAATAATGGAACTCAGAGAAACAGTGTAGAACGGTGATTACTAGGGGCTGGGTGTGAGGGAAATTGGGAGATGTCGGTCAAAGGGCACACACTTTTAGATATAAGATGAATAAATTCTGGAGATCAAATGTACAGTATGGTGACTATACTTAACAATATTGTACTGTACCCTTGAAATGTGCTAAGAAAGTAGTCCTTAAATGTTCATACCACACACACAAAAATATGTTAACTGAGTGAGGTGACAGAATGGTAACTAACTTGGGTGCAGAAATCATCTCACAACATATACATATATCTAATCATCAAATTGAAACCTTAAATTTACACAATTTCATTTGTCAATTATATCTCAATAAAGTTCAAAAAATATATTTCATATACTATGGAGACTATTTCAATATTTTGTGTGTGTGTATATATATATTTTATATAATATGTGTGCATGTGTGTATACATATATATATATATATATAAAAGAATAAAACCAAGGCATAAACAGTGATAAAACTAATGTACAGATCTTATATATTGTGGCAAAGTGGAAATAATGCACTAAGATGGGAAAAAGAAGAAAGTAGAAAAAGCTCTTTGTATTAGAGGCAATAAATCGGCATTAAAAGTTTAAAAAAAGAAACAGACAAAATTCCTAAAGTTTAAATGAGAAACAGAGTACTAAGGCATTAAGAAAGGCATATATAAAATTAATCATTAGGACAAAAAGAAAAACCTTCCAAATATGAAAACATATATATTTAAAAACACAGGCTACAGCTTTCATAGAGACAAACATAGCAAATACATCAAATTAGCCATAGTATAAAATAACAGATTTGTATCTAAATCTACAAGTCATATCAATAAATGTAAATAGGCTTACCTTTCTAAAATACAAAGCTCTACAACTTGACTTATAAAATAAGATCCAATCATATATTATATGCAAGAAACATACGTGAAAGAAGTGTTTTAGAAGGCTAAAAATACAGTAATGAACAAGAAAACAGTAGACAAATTGAAGCAAAATGAAAGTAGTAATAGTTACCTGATATCAGGCAAAGTAGAATTCAAGCCCAAAGGCATTAATCATAACAAATATCAATCTTAAATGCTATAAGCCACAATTAACAATCAAGGTATATAACTTATGAATGTCTATGCATCAAAAACAGCAACCACCTTGATAAAGTAAAACCTAATGAGGGTCAATAATATAGATAGAATATGTTAATAATTGGAGACCTTAATACATCACTCTCAGTTCATGACAGATCAATTAGGGGAAAAAATGACTAAGGAGAGAAAAAAGATAGACAACATAATCCTTAGGGTAAATGTTAGGGATATATATTAAACTATACATGCTCCTAATAGAGAATATTTGCATGAGTATTAGAGTAGTATATGGGCTCATGATCCATTTACAAATATTGATCAATTGATCAGCAAAATAATCTGCAATTTTATAAAATATAAATATTATAAACAATACAGGTGATAATGCAATAAAACAAGATATTACTAACAAAAACAAAACAAAAACACCCAGAAAGATTCTTCCACCTGGAAATTTAAAACATCCCATTAAACAAGTTTAGTGTGTGCAAGGGGAAATGCAAACTACAATGACAGAAGTTAATAAATTATAATAACAAAAAACCCACTACATATCAGCATCTATGGGATGTATGTAAAGCAGTGCTCAGAGGAAAATTCATTGAACTAAACACTTTAATCAATAAAAAAGCAAAGATTGAAAATATATTAATTAAATTCCAAGCATCAAAAACTGAATAAAAGGACAATAAAGTAAATCAAAATAAGCAAAGGGAAATAATAAAGCAGAAATCAGTAAGGTAGGAGACCTTTAAAATAAATTAATTAAACTAATAAACAAAATTCCTGGTTTGTTGAAAAGATTAAGAAAATTGACAAATCACTAGATAATTTGTTCAGGAGAAGTAGGAGAATGCACTAACAAACCAAGAAATATTCAGGAGGAAATAACTATTGAAACAAAAAATAATAATAAAATTACAATATTTTTTAGACCTCTATGCAAATAAATTTGAAAGCCTGGAGAAGATAAATAATCTTTTAATAAAATACAGACTGCCAAAATTGAATCCATTAGAGTTAAAATGTTTAAACAGAACAATTTCATAGAAGAAATAAAGTTATTAAGAAACTAGTTCACAAAAAAAAGCAACCGGTGCAGTTGTTTCACATGAGACTTCTACCAAAACATCAAACTTCTTCTTGAAAAAGAAGAAAAATATTGTAACTCCTTTCATGTACCAAGTATAACACACACTTAAGCTAGATAAGGACAGTATTAAAACAATTGTAGACCAATGTCAGTCAGAAAAGTCGATGCAAAAAAACTAAATAAGATACTTGTAAACAGAATCTAACAAGATGTGAAGAAAATAATACATCATTAGCAAATTGGATTTATAGCAAAATTTCAAGGTAGGTTTAATATTAGGAAATTCATTTATATCATAAACAATATTAATAGATCTAAGAGGAAAATTATTACTATCCCCACAGATACGGCAAAAACAATTGGAGAAAACGCCCATCCATGTTAAATGTAAAAAGACATCCAAGATAGTAAGAAATAAGCGATATTTTTAACATAATAAAATACTCATACCTTAGTCCTAAATCCAGTGTCTAATTGAATGGAGAAATACTAAAAGCATTTTCAATAAGATCAAGACAAAAATGCCCACTATTTCTGCTCTAATTTAACATTATATTAGAGGTATTATTCAAATGCAATCAGGGAAGACAGAAGAAATACAGATATAAATGTGGTTAATAATAATAGTATATCTGGAAAATTTCAAAGAATCAATGATAAAACTAATTCAGATAATAATTCAACTCAGTGAATAAGTAGAAAAAAACATTAAATTTAAAATTTATACCTTTATATTTATTTCACGAAAAAGTGAATATACTTAACAGTACTGAACTCTACACTTAAAAATGAATAAAATGGTAAATTTTATGTTATATGCTTTTTACCACAATAAAAAAATATATGTATTCATATCAAAAATAATAAAAGTGGGATATAATAGTAGAGAATAAAGATGGCTGACTAGAAGCAGGTAGTGCGCTCTGCTCTCATGAAGAAGAAACAGAATGGCTAGTAAACACTAGTTCTTCAAATGGATCATCCACGAGAACGCATTGGGACTCGTAACAGAAGCAACGGGACCCATGGAGAACAGAGAGGAATGAAGCAGAGCAGCCACCCACCTGGAACTGGCGCAGAGGCAGTGGAAGCTCACTACCACAGGGAAAGGGTGAGTGAGGAAGAGCCCCAGGGACCCACAATTCCTCCATTGACCTTTGCAATCCTAGGAATGGGAGATCCTCCCAACCCCCCAGGCCTCCAGACTGACACAAAGAAACACCTGGAGTCTGGGCAGAGCCGTCACTCAAGGTCATGTGAAGCCCCAAGGACCTTGGATCACTGAGCACCCAGGCACCAGCTTGCATAGACCTGCCAACAAGGAAGGACGGGCTCTTTCACATGCCCCTAGGATAGAGATTGCATCCACAGTGATGAGAAGCAGACGGACTGCAGGCCCCATCTCTGCAGCTCCTCACATGACAGGGCCTCCCAAATGGGGCCTGCAGCGCAGCCATTCCACCATCTCCTGAGCACTCGGGCCAGTCTTGGCTCAGCATTTCTCTGGGGTGGAGCTCCCAGAAGAAACTCACAGGCCTTCTTCCATTGCTGGGGCCAGGGTACCCGCCCTTGCTGCCCACAGGCTAGGGAGGGAACGAAGAGCCTGATTGCTTTCACTGACACCTCCAGCACATAGCACCTGTGCATCTACCCTATGTAGAAAGAGGACAGACTTATTTACACAAGAACCATCTCTCGCCCTGCTCTTCGGCAAGCAGGCTCCCCTTGCCCTTAACTGCTTGGGCCCCACACTGCTGGGGCCCATAGGATAGCTGCCCAGCCCAGACATGATCACTCTGATCAGCTGTGGCTCTGCATTTTTCTGGGGTGGAGCTCCCTGAGGCAACTGAGAGGTGTGGTTGCAGCCACCACAGTCCCCACCCTTACTGCCCCCAGGCTGGGGAGGAAACAAAAAGCCTGAGCCCTTATGCAAGCCTCCAGCATACCAGCAGCTACCCTGCAGAGGCAGCCAGAATGCTTCCTGCGTGACCCACCACCACCAGGGCACCCTCCCAAATGGGGTTTGATGCCTTCTGGCTTCCAGTGTACCTACTCAATCCCTACATGACTATTTCATCTGTGGTCCAGAGCCCTACTAAAATCCTTACCCCCACAAGCCTGTGATCTTCCCTTAGGCTCTCACTGCCTAAGTGCTCTGCCTAACCCTACCTAAGAGTTCAGCCAGTGACCCAGGGACCAGACTGCCCCTTACCATCACGACCAGCACCTGAGGAACCCCACCCCCCACCCCAACCTAGCTCCATCAGGACTCATACATGATGTTCAGCCAGCAATCTAGGGGCTGGGGAGTTAGAGAACTACCTACCCCATTCAAATTCTGCTGACATCTGACCACTTCCCTCAGAGCCTGAGGTCCAACTGACACAACCAGCTGATATCGCCATAACCAACACACAGACCCAAAGGCAGACTCACCCCCTTTTACACAAAGAAGTAATGATATCACATTGGAGAACAGGGAAGCTGTGAAGCTATTTATATTAATTAGGCTGAGTGATGAAGTTCTGCCCCAAAACCACTCCCATGGAGAGTCACGAATTAAGCAGTCCCCAAGGCTCTCAGCCACACTGTGGCCCAGAGACAGACTACAGTATGTGACTCATCTAAGAGTCATGAGCTCTGGAACCGGGTTGTGATAAGGCAACAGTTCATATTCTTGTCTCTTTACGACAAGGGGCTTGTGCAGCGCCCCACAGTCCCACACAAAAACTTCAGCACATTTCATTAGGAGCTCCTCACACTCCTAGCCACCTCCATTAGGGCTGGTGCCTGCACTTGACATAGGAGTATTTGAGGGTAAGCCAGAAGTTCCAGCTCTGCCTAGCTGTGTCCCCCTACCCCCACAGAACAGGAAGCACATGTCACAGAGAACTTCATGCTTCAGCCCATTAGCTGAAACAACACAGAGCACCTCACAGTAAACAAAGATCAGTTACATATCCATCTGTTGTACAACCACTAGCTCTGAACCATAAAACCATTGATAAAAGAAAAACTTCAGTTGAATTATATTTTTAAAAGTTTAATTTAGCAATGAACAATTTGTGAATTGGGCAGCCCCTAGAATCACAGCAGATTCACAAAGACTCCAGTGCAGCCACATAGTGGAAGATTTATAGACAAAAAAAGGGACATGACATACAGAAATTGGAAGTGAGGTACAGAACAGCTGGACTGGTTACAGCTCAATGTATGCCTTCTTTGAACATAGTTTGAACACTCAGCAGTATATGAATGGTTAAAGTATGGCCGCTGGGATTGGCTAAGGCTTAGCTATTGTTACAAGTGCATACTACTAAGTTAGGTTTTCCATTTTGTCTGCCTATTAAGCTAGGTTACAGTTCATCCACAAGGACTCAAATATAGAAGTACAGAGTCCTTCTCAGGCCATATTTAGTTTGCTTTAACACCATATACCAGCATGTAGGTTGAACTACACAGCCCAATATGAAACCTGCTGACAGAATTATGTATCAATATGGAAGTAAAGCCAAAAGACCCTCTCCAACATACTCTATAGTCACATCCTCTGTCAAGGAGGAGAAAGGGAAAGAAGAAGAAAAAACAATAATATACAGATTGAAAGGGGGGGAATTGTATCTATAGGAAAATAATTACAAAAATTAGAAATGCCAGTTATCTCCAAAGGAGAAAGAACCCACACAAAAATTCTGGCACCATGAAAAATGTGAATGTTGTGTCACCACCAGAAGATCACACTAGCTCTCCAACAATGGCCCTCAACTAAAATGGAAACTCAGAAATGTCAGCTAAAGAATTCAAACCATGGATTGCAAGAAAACTCAAAGATGTTCAAGACGAGATTGAAAATCAACAAAAAGAAACTACTAACACGATCCAGGAAACGAAGGAAGAGATAAGCACCTTAAAAAGAAATCAATCAGAGCTTCTGGAATTGAAAAACTTACTTAAAGAATATCAAAATGCAATTGAAAGATTTATCATTAGACTAGACTAGACCAAGCAGAAGAAAGAATTTCAGAGCTTGAAGACTGGCCATTTGAGCTAACCCAGTGGGGTGGGGGTGGGGGGAAATAAAGAAATAATTTTTAAAAATGAACAAACTAGGATATTTGGTCTCATACTTATGGTGGACGACCTTGATTTTCCACTTCTCTTCAGGGATGAGTCATGTGGTGGTAGAAAATGCCCTCGACCTGGAGGAGCAGTTTGCTCATCTGGACCTGAACTCCTCTGATAAACAGAGTGGAGGAAGTACAGCAAGCCAAGAGTGCTATATACCCCCTCACTTAAGGAACAGAGAAGGATCTAAAGGATTCCATGATAAAGACAGTTCAGATTGGAGTTGTAGCAAAAATAAGGATGCATATAGCAGTTTTGGGTCTCGAGATTCAAGAGGAAAGCCTGGTTATTTCAGTGATTGTGGAAGTGGATCAAGGGGAAGATGTGATGATCCTGGATGGAGTGACTATGATGGTATTGGCAGTTATGGTGACAGAATTGGCTTTGGCAAATTTGAATGGAGTGGACACAGTCATTGGTGTGACAAGTCAGATAAAGATTATTGGTCAAAACCACTTCCACCAAGTGAATGCTTGGAGCAGGTACTCTTTTCTGGAGAAAACACTGGGATTAACTTTGAGAAATATGATTATCTACCAATAGAGGCAACCAGCAGTAACTGTCCTCCACATATTGAAAATTTCAGCAATGTTGACATGGGAGAAATTATCATGGGGAACGTTGAGCTTGTTACACGTGTCCATATAAGAGACCACTTGAGCAGGCTTAGTGTGAGCAACAAGGCTGTTTATTCACTTGGGTGCAAGTGGGCTGAATCTGAGAAAGGAGTCAGCAAAGGGTGGTGGGATTATCATTGGTTCTTGTAGGTTTGGGATAGGCAGTGGAGTCAGGAGCAATTTTTTGTGGGCAGGGGATGGATGTTACAAAGTACATTCACAGGGGCAGGGGGGAATGTTACAAAGTACATTTGCAAGGGTGGGGAGGGTGTACTGTCACAAGGGCGGGGAGGAATGTTACAAAGTACATTCACAAGGATGGGGAATATCACAAAGTACATTATCACAAGGGCAGGGGAATGTCACGATGGCTTGACCATGGTGCGGCCAGCTCAGAGGACCTTATATTCCCGTCTTTTTATGTTAATAATGAAGAAATAAAACAAGAAAGATTAATGAAAACTTGAGGTGAAAATTTTGGGGGCGGTATGGAGGGGTGATGGGCGATGTTTCTCAGGGCTGCTTCAAGTGGGATTAGGGGTGGCATGGGAACCTAAAGTGGGAGAGATTAGACTGAAGTAAGATTTTGGGGTAAGGGGTGATATTGTGGGCTTGTTAAAAGCAGCACTTGTCATATAGAGTGATTAGTGATAGCCTGGATGCAGTTTTGTAGGAATTGAGAGATTAATCGGAAGACAAAAGGCCCGAATAAGAGATGGAGGAAGATAGGTATTACAGGACTAATGATTGGAACAAGCCAGGATACCCAGTTAGAGAGTGACCAGGTGGGTCCAGCATAATTAGTTGCCTGATTAGTGAGTTTTTGAGCTCTGTCTTTGAGTTTTTTGATGTTACCATATGCCAGGCCAGATTGATTTAAGTAAAAACAACACTCTTCATTAAGAAATATACAGAGTCCTCCTTTTTCAGCAGTGAGTAAATTGAGGCCTTGGCGGTTCTGCAGGACAACTGCAGCTAAAGAGTCAACCTGGGCTTGGAGGACAGATAAAGCTTGTGATATATCTGTAATGCTAGCAGAGAAGTCATTAGAGAGGCTGCGGAATGCTGTGACAGAGGTTGAGATGCCTGCTATTCCAGTTCCAAGTGCAAGAGTGGAGGCAGAAAGTCCTAGACCCACAAGCAAAGGGATTAGTGAGATGACTCTTTTTTGTCATGTTGGTGTCATGAGGGGGACAGGCAGTTGTTCATTCCCATCTACAAACTGGATTTTGGGAGTAAGGAAGACTAGAGTACATGTGCCCATCTAGCTGGCAGGTAGGCACATGTAGGTGGAAGAGCCACATAAAAAGAAGAAACCTTGTGTCAGGCAGAACTGGAAATGTAAAGTGAAAAGGTGAGAGGGTGTACTGAAAGAGGAGTCCTGCACCCCAAATCCTAGAGATCCAGCAAGGACAGCAGCTGTTAGAGGTTGTAATGGGGATTGATGGTGCAATTGTGTAGATGAAAGGTTTGGTTCTCATGGTATATGAGAAAGAGCATAGTATCTATGAGTAACCTTTCACTGCTATTGATGGGGCTGGGTATAAGCAAGCAAGAGGAGGAGTCAGGAGGAGAGTCAGATGAGCAAGCGGAGGGTAGCCAAGGATGGAGTGAGATGCAGGGTAGGTGTCTTCCTAAACAATAGTGACTGCCAATGTTTTTTAGTTTGTCAATAATGATAGAGGGCTTATCAGCAATGCGAAGTTGGAATGCTCCCATCTGTTTGGTAGTGTGTGTGGCTGGGTTCTGGAGATAAAGAGTAAAGGAACATTTGGACGGTGGAAGGTTGCCTAAAGGGATTCCAGTAGGCTGTGGTCAGGAGATGCAAAAAGGAGCAGCAACAGGGATAGTTGTTTGTGTGGTTAGGGGTCCAAATTTGGGGGGGGGTGGACTTGACATAAGGAGAAAGGTACCATAAGTAGATGCGGAGAAGTGTGGCAGCTTGTTGGTGTGAAATGTCTGGGGAGTTCTCACCAAATCTGTCTAGAAAGTAAAGAAGTTCCTCAGGAGGGTAAAGATGAGGTAAAGGAGGTTTGGAGGTGCAGGGAGACAGGAGAGGTAGCCCAGTCGGCCTGTAGAGCGGGGACTTGTAAGAGCAGGAAGAAAGGGAAACACATAGCCAACAATTCTTTGCTAGAGAAGGATTGGAGGCAGTGAGGAGAGAGTGGGTGAGATTGATAGTATGCTGGAGGTAACTAGGGAGAGGTAGATAGTGACTGGAGAATGGGGTCAAGGATAAGAGTAAGTAGAAAAGTAAAAAAAAAAAAAAAAAAAAGGACTTTATCAGGATAGAGGAATTGGAGTGTACCTTGCCACTGAAGAGCTTCTATCCACTCCCAGAGAGAGTTAAGGGTGGCGGTTTGAGGTAAAACCAGGAGATATCAGTTATGATGGTTTGGAGGAAAAGTGTAAACTGGCAGTGTAAACAAGGGCAGGGCATTTATGAGTAGTTGAGAATGGTGAATAGGAGTATGACTAGACAGAAGATAGTAGGGATGACAAGTTTTTGGGGCACAGTCCAAGTAGTGGGGGTGACTGTGTAAAGCCCTGTTGCAAAAAGTAGGGTAAGGATGAATAGACCTAATAGAATGAAGGGATATATTAGGCTCATAAGGGTTATTACTGTTCTTCAGAAATGCAAGTGAGTTTAAGGGAAGCAGGGGAGAGTACTTGCGATTTCCAGGAGGAAGAGGAGAGATCAGGCTGGCTGGCTGGCAGACACAGCTTTATTCTGGAATGGTGAACCCAATACAGAGGGTCCTGCAGGCAGACAGCAGTTGGGGTACTATAGATGACTAAGCAGGGTCCAGTCCATCAAGGTTTGAGGGGTCATATTCTTAACAGGAACTGATCATCCAGCTAGGGTGTCTTCATATTGCTGGGAATCTGGAGTAGGCAAGAAAAGATTAGCAGCCTGGAGAATTTCCTGTCTAGCCTGCTGGAGTACCAGAAGATAGTCGCCTAGAGGGCTGGTGTCTGTCAAGAGGTTGGGGCCCAGCAAGAAAGTACATCCGTATGAAAGTTCAAATGGACTATATCCTGTAGCTTCTTGAGGATAGGCTCTAATTCTAAGGAGGGCAAATGGTAAAAGTGCTGTCCAGTCTTTTTTAAGTTGGAGGCTGAGCTTGGTGAGGTGTGTTTTTAAAAGACCATTAGTTCTTTCTACCTTTCCCAAAGATGAAGGATGGTAAGGGGGTATGAAGTTTCCACTGGATGCTGAGAGCCTGGGAGACTGCTTACGTGACCTGACTAATGAAGGCCGGTCCATTATCAGACTATATAGAGGTCAGAAGGCCAAACCGAGGAATTATGTCTGACAGAAGGGAAGAAACGACTGTGGTGGCCTTCTCAGACCCTGTGGAAAAGGCCTCTACCCATCCAGTGAATGTATCTACCCAGACCAAAAGGTACCTTAGTTTTTGACTTGGGGCATATGGGTAAAGTCAGTCTGCCAGTCCTGGGTTGGGGCAAATCCTCTAGCTTGATGTGTAGGAAAGGGAGGGGGCGTGAGATATCCCTGAGTGGTGGTAGAGTAGCAGATGGAACACTGAGAAGTAATTTCCTTGAGGATGGATTTCCATGATGGAAAAGAAATGAGAGGTTCTAAGAGATGGGCCATTGGCTTGTAACCCACATGAAAGAGGTTCTGAAAGGATGATAAGATAGAATGAGCCTGTGAGGCAGGAAGGAGGAATTTTCCTTGATCCAAGAACCATTTGCCTTGAGTAGGAATGGATTAATAGGTAATAGTTTCATGAGTAGGAATGGATTAATAGGTAATAGTTTCAGTGGGAGAATAGGTGGGAGTGATAGATGAGAAGGAAGAAAACTGGCTGTGAGGGACAGATGTGGGAATACTAGCTGCTTCTTTTGCTGCATATCAGCATAAGTGTTGCCTCAAGCAATGGGATCTGGTGACCTCTGATGCCCCTTGCAGTGAATGACTTCAGCTTCTTTGGGCAGTAAAGCAGCCTTAAGGAGGATTTTTATAAAGGCAGTTGATGATGGAGGACCCTTGTGTAGTGAGAAAACCTCTTTCTGCCCATATAACAGCATGGTGATGTAGGATGTGGAAGGCATACTTGGAATCAGTGTAGATATTGACACATAGTCCCTTTGCAAGGGTGTGGGCCCAGTTTAAAGCAATGAGTTTGGCTTGTTGAGAGGTAGTGGAAGGGGGCAAGGCAGTAGCTTCAATGACAGATGTGGAAGACACTACAGCATAGCCTGCCCTTGCTGGTGACTGATGATTGGGCCTTGAAGAACTACCATCAATAAACCAAGTGTGGTCTGGATTAGGAACAGGAAAGAGGGAAATATGGGGAAATGGGGAGGATGCCACATGGATTAGGGAGATACAATCATGAGATTCAGGTTTGGTGCTGGGTATAAGGTGAGAGGATGGGGTGAAGTCTGTGCCAGGAACAATGGTAATTGTGGGAGTTTCAATGAATTGTGAGTAGAGTTGGAGGAGTTAGGGGGTGGAAAGTATATACACCAAGTGTGAGTAGGAAAATAGATGTTGAAAGTTATGAGAGCTGTAGAGAGTAAGTGGGGCATGGTTTGTGAGCTTGAGGTCCTCCAGAAGTATTGAAGCGGCAGCTGCTGCTGCACGTAGACATGAGGGCCAGCCTAGAACTGTGAGGTTAAGTTGTTTGGACAGGAAGGCTACAGGTCATGGGCCTGGATCCTGTGTAAAAACTCTGAACGCACAGCCTTGTATTTCAGCTATATGTAATAAGAAGGATTGGGACGAGTTAGGGAGTGCTAATGTGGGGACTGTTTCTAGGGTTGTCTTTAAGGAATGAAAAGAAGAGTGGGGAAAGGACTTAGGTCTATGGGGTCAGTCAGGTTTCCCTTTGTGAGTTTATATAGTGGTTTAGTTAGGATGGCAAAACCTGGTATCCAAAGGCGAAAGTATCCAACCATGCCTAGGAAGGAAAGGAGTTGTTGCTTTGTAGAAGGGGTTGGAGTTTTTGGAGATTAGCTGTACACAGTTAGCAGGGAGAGTATGTGTGCTTTGATGAAGGACTCTGCCAAGATAGGTAATGGATGGGGAAGAAATTTGGGCTTTAGAGGGGGATATATGACACCCCTTTGAGAATATATGTTGAAGAAGCAGGAGGGTATCTTTTTGGGAAGATTCATAAGAAGGGCTGCAGGCCAGGCGTGGTGGCTCACGCCTGTAATCCCAGCACTTTGGGAGGCCGAGACAGGCAGATCACAAGGTCAGGAGATCGAGACCATCCTGGCTAACATGGTGAAACCCTGTCTCTACTAAAAATACAAAAAAAGTAGCCGGGCATGGTGGCGGGCACCTGTAGTCCCAGCTACTCGGGAGGCTGCGGCAGGAGAATGGCCTGAACCTGGGAGGTGGAGCTTGCAGTGAGCCGAGATCTTGCCACTGCACTCCAGCCTGGGCAACAGAGCAAGACTCCATCTCAAAAAAAATAAATAAATAAGAGGAGCTGCAGAGGAGAAGGTCGTCCATATATTGAATAAGGTGAGAAACAGATGGATGGAAAGAAAGTAGATCATGAGAAAGAGCTTGACTAAAGTAATGGGGGCTGTCTCTGAAACCTTGTGGCAGTACAGTCCAGGTGAGTTGCTGAGATTGGTGGGTGTCAGGGTCAGTCCATGTGAAAGCGAAAAAAGGTTAGGATGAGGGGTACAAAGGAATAGTGAAGAAAGCATCTTTGAGGTCGAGGATGGAATAATGAGTTGTGGAGGGAGGTATTGAGGATAGGAGAGTATATGGGTTTGGCACCACAGTATGGACAGGTAAGACAATTTGGGTAATAAGGTGAAGATCCTGAACCAACATGTAAGATTTGTCCAGCTTCTGGACTGGTAGGATAGGGGAGTTGTAAGGAGAATTTATAGGCTCTAAAAAGCCATGCTGTAACAGGTGAGTGATAACAGGCTTTAGTCCTCTTAAAGCCTGTTGTGGGATGGGGTACTGGCATTGAGCGGGGTAAGAGTGACTAGGTTTTAATGGGATGGTAAGGGGTACCTGATCAGTCACCAAGGAGGGAGTAGAGGTATCCCATACTTGTGGATTAAGGTAGGGAGACATGAGAGGAGGATTCAAAGGAGGCCTTGAATCAGGTAAAAGGGCAGCAATGAGGTGTGACTGTAGTCCAGGAATAGTCAGGGAAGCAAGGGAAGCAGATAATTTAGTTAAAATGTCTCGGCCTAATAAGGGAACTGGGCAGGTGGGGATAACTAAAAAAGAGTGCATAAAAGAATGTTATCCAAGTTGGCACCAGAGTTGGGGACTTTTAAGGGGTCTAGAAGCCTGGCCGTCAATACCCACAACAGTTACGGGGGCAAGGGAAACAGGCCCTTGAAAAGAAGGTAATGTGGAGGGGGTAGCTCCCGTATCGATTAAACAGGTTATGGACTTACCATCCACTGTAAGAGTTACCCAAAGCTCGGCATCCGTGATGGTCCAGGGGGCTTCTGAGGCGATCAGGCAGCATCGACATTCAGCTGCTAAGCCGAGGAGATCTGGGAAGGAGTCGGCCAAGGAATGTTGGGTTTGAGCTCCAGGAGCTTTAGGAGTGGCAGCGATGTGAGTCAGACAGTCTGACTTCCAGTGGGGGCCTGCACAGACAGGGCCCGACTTAGGAGGAATCCTGGGCTGCTGGCACTCCGAGGCCCAGTGGCCAGGCTTTTGGCATTTGAAGCAAGGTCCACAGGGAGGTTTTGAAGGAGCCCCTGGGAGCTGTGGCTTGGATGTTCCGAAGGTTTTGTATGCTGGAGACGTGGTTGTGGGTTGTCTTACAGTGGAGGCAAGTAGCTATAACTGAGAGATACGTTGCCACTTGGCGGCTTCTTCTCTGTTATTGAACACCTTGAAGGTGAGGTTGATTAAATCCTATTGTGGGGTTTGAGGGCCGGAATCCAACTTTTGGAGTTTTTTTCTAATGTCAGGAGTGGATTGGGTCATAAAATGCATGTTAAGGATAAGGCGGCCTTCTGGCCCCTCTGGGTCTAAGGCTGTAAAGCATCTAAGGGTAGCTGCTAAGTGGGCCATGAACTGGGCTGGGTTTTCATCTTCACGTTGGGTAGTTTCCTTTAGCTTGTCATAATTAACAGCTTTGTATGCTGCCTTTTTGAGCCCCTAGACTAGGCAGGAGACCATGTAATCTCACCTAGCTATACCTGGGGAGTCTGTGTGGTATTGCCAATGGGGATCCTCTCGGGGAACTGCCCTAGTGCCCTCTTGGAGGCCTGGCTTATGAAGCCGGCAGGTGTCTGCATAGGACTGGGCTAGAGAATAAACTCTTTCTCATTTATCTGGGGAGAGGGTAGAGGTCAGGATGACATTTAAGTCACTCCAGGTTAAAGTGAAGGACTGAGTTAGATATTGGAATTCCTGTATATATTTATTGGGGTCTGATGAGAAAGAGCCAAAATGCTGACTGATTTGGGAAAGGTCTGATAGAGAAAAAGGCACATGTACCCTGACTATGCCTTCAGCTCCAGCCACCTCTCTAAGAGGAAATTGTTGGGCAGGTGGGGGAGACCTAGTCACGGAACGAAACTGTAAGCCAGACCAGGTGTGAGGAGGGAAGGTAATAGAAGGGTTATAGGGTGGGGAAGCGGAGGCTATGGAAGAATTGGGACCTGATTCAGCCTGGCAAGGAGCAGCCGGGGGAGAAGAGAGGTAAGAGGGGTCAGTGGAAAAGGAGGATTCAGAGGACTCTGAGTTTGGGGTGGAGACAAGAGGAGTGGATGGGAGAGAAAGAAGGAAAATCTGGGACAAGTGGCATTGGGAGCAGAGACTAGGGAGGGAATGAATTGTAAAAAAATGCCTGGACATAAGGCACCTCGGACCATTTGCCCATTTTTCAACAAAAATTATCTAGGTCTTGTAGGATAGACAAATCAAAAGTGCCATTCTCTAGCCACTTGGAACTATTGTCGAGTTTGTACTGGGGCCAAGCAGTATTACAGAAGAAAATAAGATGTTTAGGTTTTAGGTCAGGTGTTAGTCGAAGGGGTTTTAGGTTTTTAAGAACACAGGCTAAGGGGGAAGAGGGAGGAATGGATGGCAGAATGTTGCCCATAGTGGAGAAGGTAAGTTTAAAGAGGAAGGTAGAGACACGGAGAAATGGAGGTGGCAACTACAGGCTTCCCGTAGGCATCCCTGACTGAGTCCTGGGCTGTAATGTGGGTGAGCAGCCAAAGCAGGCATCCCCATAATTGACCTGCCACCAAGAGAATGTGGGTGAATGATCAAGACAGGTGTCCCCACGGTGATCAGACACCAAGGGAAGACTGTCTTCCCAAGTCCGTGACCAACATCGGAGTTTTTGAATGCACAGATAAAGTGTGTCTCCTTTTTGTCTCTACCAGGAAGGGAGAGAAACTGAAATTGAAAGGAGAGAGATTGAAGGGAGGCAATAGAGGTTAGGTAGAGAGCAAAAACACTGCTTACCCGAGTGCAAATAACTGCTTACCGATTTGAAATTGGTGAAATGGTCCTTGGGCTGGCTGGTCTGATGACCTGAGGTCGTAGGTGGATCTCCTCACAGAGGTAGCATGAGGACAGGGGACCAGTCTCCTGAAGGAGTTCCCCTGTCCCGGGTCTTCAGCACCAAATACTATGTGTGTCCGTATAAGAGACCACCTGAGCAGGCTTAGTGTAAGCAACAAGGCTGTTTATTCACTTGGGTGCAAGTGGGCTGAATCCAAGAAAGGAGTCAGCAAAGGGTGGTGGGATTATCATTTATTCTTATAGGTTTGGGATAGGCAGTGGAGTCAGAAGCAATTTTTTGCAGGCAGGGGATGGATGTTACAAATACATTAACAAGGGCGGGGAGGGTGTATTGTCACAAGGGCGGGGAATGTTACAAACTACCTTCACAAGGATGGGGAATATCACAAAGTACATTATCACAAGGGCGGGGGAATGTCACGATGGCTTGACCATGGTGCGGCCAGCTCAGAGGACCTTACAGAGCTTACTTACTATACTCATCCTACTCCACTGCAAAACATGCCATTCCTATTATTAGGGGAAAAAAAGAGACTTAATGTCTTGTGCCCAAGCAGGGTCTGGGAAAACTGCAGCATTTCTTTTACCCGTACTGAGTCAGATATATATAGATGGTCCAGGAAAAGCTTTGAAGGCTGTGAAGGAAAATGGAAGGTATGGATGCCATGAACAATACTCAATCTCCTGGGTTTTAGCCCCAACAAGAGAATTGGCTGTACAGATATGAGGAAGTCAGAAAATTTTCATACCAGCCTAGAGTTCATCCTTGTGTAGTTTATGGTGATGCTGATATTGGTCAGCAAATTCAGGTCTTAGAACATGGATGCCACTTGTTAGTAGCCACGCCAGGAGGTCTAGTGGATTTGATGGAAAGAGGAAAGATTGGATTAGACTTCTGCAAATACTTAGTGTTGGATGAAGCTGATAGGATGCTGGATATGGGATTTGGACCTCAGATACATCTTATACTTGAACAAGATACTATGCCACTGAAGGGCATTCATCACATCATGATGTTTAGTGCTACTTTTCCTAACGAAATACAGATGCTTGCTCGTGACTTTTTGGATGAATATATCTTTTTGGCTGTAGGAAGAGTAGGCTCTACCTCTGAGACTATCACACAGGAAGTAGTTTGGGTGGAAGAGCCAGATAAACGGTCATTTCTGCTTGATCTCTTAAATGCACCAGGGAAGGATTCACTGACTTTAGTGTTTGTGGAGACCAAAAAGGGAGAAGATTCTCTGGAGAATTTCTTATACCATGAAGTATATCCTTGTACTAGTATTCATGGAGACCAATCACAGAGAGATCGAGAAGGAGGCCCTTCATCAGTTTTGCTTGGGGAAAATCCCAATTCTAGTGGCTACAGCTGTGGCAGCATGAAGACTAGACATTTCAAATGTGAAACATGCTTCAATTTTGATTTGCCAAGTGATATTGAAGAATATGTGCCTTGTATTGGCTGTACAGGATGTGTGGGAATCCAGGGTCTTGCCACCTCATTCTTTAATTAAAGAAATATGAATATTACAAAGGATTTGTTGGATATTCTTATAGAAGCTAAACAAGAAGTGCCTGCTTGGTTGGAAAATAAAGCTTATAAACACCACTACAAGGGTGGTATTCATGCATGATCTAAAAGATTCAGTGGAGGATTTGGTGCCAGAGACTATTGACAAAGTAGTGGTTCCAGCAGTTCTGGCTTCAGTAGTAGTCATACAAGCAGCAGCTGCAGTGGTGGAGGTGGTCATGGCAGCAGCAGCAGATGTGGTGGAGGTAGCTATGGAGGCTTCTACAACAGTGATGGATGTGGAGGAAATTATAATTCTTGTTATAAGAGTTATTAAGAGCTGGGCGCGGTGGCTCACACCTGTAATCCCAGCACTTTGGGAGGCTGAGGCAGGCGGATCACGAGGTCAGGAGTTCGAGACCAGTCTGGCCAACATAGTGAAACCCCATCTCTACTAAAAATACACAAAAAATTAGCCAGGCGTGGTGTTGTGCACCTGTAATCCCAGCTATTTGGGAGGCTGAGGCAGGAGAATCACGTGAACCCAGGAGGCGGAGGTTGCAGTGAGCCGAGATCGTGCCACTGCACTCCAGCCTGGGTGACAGAACAAGACTCTGTCTCAAAAAAAAAAAAAAAAAAAAAAAAAGAAAGAGTTATTAAGAAATTATTTTAAGCAGATAAGAAAAGGGGTCCTTGGGAAGTTCTTTTTTTTCTTTTAGAGCAACTCCAGAAACATTTCTTGTCTAGCAGGAAAGCTAGGCCAGCAAGCTTTGATATGCAAATACCGGCCATTAGAAACTGGGCCCACCCAAACATGGCAATTCCTGCAGTCTTATTCTTGCCCTGGCCTCCACATGTGCCTGGCAACACGGCCACCCCCACATATCCACACATGTGTAAAATATCATGGTGCCCTGCATTTGCATATTAAAAGGCTAGGGTGGGAGGGCCAGTTTTTTCTCAGGCTACGTGAATGACATGCTTGGTCAAACCAATCCCCTGAGCCCTATCCAAATCAGACACAAACGTCCTCCAGCCTCCTCATATAAGCAGCCACTTTTCTATCACACTTGGAGTTTTTCTCTTTGTTCGAATCCCCCTGCCTTCTGTCTCTGTACGGGGAAGCTGTTTTCTTCTTCCTTCCTTCTTTCTTGTCTATTAAACTCTCTGCTCCTTAAAACGACTCCACATGTGTCTGTGTCATTTTATCTAAATTGACACAAGACTAAGGACGCTGGTGTTCCTCCAGTCATCGGAGCCATATCATTTTGATCCATTGGCCAGGAAACTGAGGTACAGCCTTTGTTGGAGCGGTAAGTATGGGAGCGAGCTTAAAATCTGTTGCATCATTCACAAGGTGCTCTTGGCCTCTATATTAAAATAAAATTAGATAGATAAACCCAAACTACTTTCTGTGTGATATTCTCAGATGTAGAGCCTACTCTGCCTACAGCCAAAAAGATATATTCATCCAAAAAGTCATGAGTAAGCATTTGTATTTCTTTAGGAACGGGCATGCATCAGCCTAGTACATACACAGCGTTGGCTGCTGTACTAAAGACTCAGATGTGAGGCTTGCTGGTGAGAACATGGAGAACCCCCCAATACCCATGAGTACTGGGAATGTTGGCCATGTTTTGAACTAGTTTCTTTTCATCGCTTGAGGCTGGGAAAAGTTCTGAGGTAACTGAGAATTTCTGGCCAGGGGACATACTGGCATGATTCAAAGGCCTCTGGACCAGACCCAGCCTCCAATAGCCTGTTCTGGGTGTGTGGCAGAGAACCCTCAACTATACCGTTGCAAAACTCTTCTTCCTTCTCTATCTGTGGCGTCTTACTCTTTCTCTGATTGAAATGTGCAGGGATTTTTACAGCCTAGGAAAGAAATCCTGTTAGGCAAGATCAGGAAAATGCCTCTAGAAACAGTTTTCCCCATTGCTCTGCAGTGAAGTTACTTGCTACCAGGTCTCTGGCAAGCACATAGTATTTCTAAGCTAACACCGCCACCTAGTGGAAATAGGAATCCTCTACATGAGACACATTTTTTTCCTTTTTCTTTCATGGTAACACTGCAGCTTCTTTTTACACCATTAAAAATCAGGCTCTATGCTTCTTCTGGAAATGGGAATTTTCTGCCTTTAGCAGTTAGGAGTAAGATGTCTTCCGCAGCCAGATTTTAGTCCCAATATTGTCCCATCAGTAGAAAAATGGCCATTCGGGTCCTACGTTCTTTTAAGGCACCTATTATGTCTCTGATTAAAACAGTACTTAATTAGTAAGGGAAATTTAAATTCAGAAGTTAACCAGAACCACTTTTTTTAAGGGTAAGTGCTTTAGCATGGGCTGTAATAGCAGGTAATCTAGCACATTGCCTCCACTAAAGGAGCCTTGCCCAAAAGTGACACAGTCTCTTCAGAGATCTGTTTTTCAGAGAGCCAGACAAATCACACAGGTTCTAGAAAGTCAAAGGGAAATCATACAAGGCAGATAAGCTAAGGCTGCATGGGTAAGCGTGGTTGGCCCCATCACTTAGCTCATCTGGTTCCATGGCTTGGAGGACCATGCCTGCAACCATGGGGGGCATATTTAACATGGTGCCAGGATCCAGAAACCAGGGAGGGGAGACACTTGGAGGATGCTCGATGTCTTCTCCTCCACTCTGGGTCATACAGAAAGGAAGGAGACTAAGAGGAAGCTTCTATTCTCACTTCTATCCTGCCTCAGCCTCCAGAGTAGCTGGGACTAAAGGCGCCCACCACCATGCCTGGCTAATTTTTGTATTTTTGGTAGAGACGGGGTTTCACCATGTTGGCCAGGATGGTCTCGACCTCCTGACCTCGTGATCCGCCCGCCTCAGCCTCCCAAAGTGCTGGGATCACAGGTGTGAGCCACCACGCCTGACCCAAAATTTTGCAATGACAGTTTCAAAAGCTGCCTATCACCCCTTTGAAAATACCTTGTATGCTCACAATTAAGTCATAACCTAATTAAGGCTTGTTGGTTTCACCTGTGACGTTACTTTTTGTAAAGTTCAAAAGCCGAAAACCTTAAGTGCTTGGCTTGGCTAAACTCAAGTAACAAGGGAGTTCAAAGGATTTTCTTAAAGCATGCTCAGCTTAATTAAAAGTGGATATTCAAGTTATAAGTATATTTTAAAGGCCTTTATGTTTTTCTCTTATTGGATCTTGTTTTTCTAGGAAAAGGCTCTTTTCTTATCAGTCAACTGAATTACTTTTCTCCATTTTTTGTCTTACCAGTCTTAATGCATGCTACCTGACCCTGTTCATCCAAGGGCTCCACCCTGAAGCCAGTAATCCAATTAAGAAACTGGCAAATAAAAAATCTTACAAGTGTTGAATCTTTTGTCTGTTCACGTTGCTGTATATGTGTTGTGTGCAATGTCTATAAAAAGAGCTCTAATTGATTGGCTTAAAGAAAAATAAGTGTCTTAAATCAAATACTTTTTAGTTCACATGACTTTAAGAAATAAAAATAGTCAAGGATTATTGGTAAAATGCAAGTGTCATCAAAATGCAAAAAGGTGGTGTAAATCATACAACTTAGATACTAGGTTTGCTAGATGTTTCAAGGTTGTACACTGCCTGCTTTACAGATAAGTAAGGCCTGGGACACATGGAGCTAGATGCTGAAAAGTCAGACTTTATCTGCACTTCTGTCTGGGTCCTACGATCCACACTTTGTACGTAATTAAAATCACTTACCAACCAGGTTTTTCACCAAAAAGAAAAGTTGTTAAAAGTTAACAGTGCAACATGTATTTGAGATCACCAAATAGTTTTACATGCAAGGCATATAAAAACAGTAAAATGTGGGTTTTTTTTTTCAGTAAAATATTATAAGAAAGCAGGGCAATGTAAATTTTGCCCTGGGATGAGGGATTATGTTAAATTTGATAAGATAGGGCTAGAGGTTTAAGCAAGTTATAGAAAGATTGAAAATATTAATCTTGCAAAATGTGTAAACATTAATTAGACTCAAAAGGATATTATGGTATTTTACAGTTTATAATCAAGTTATATTAAGGATTTTAACAGGTATTCTCAAATGCAGGTTTTTAATAGTTTTAAAGATTGTAACATTGAAAGAAAGAACATATGGGACTCATAAAGAACTGACATGTTCACAAATATCAAGCAAAACGAGTTAACTAAAAGGACTGCACTCTAAGTTAAAGCAACCTTTTTGACTGTTGCTTGGAATATTGCTAATCCTTGTTTTGATTTTCAGAGTCAAGGAAACTTATTTTGAACTATTTACCACCTTTAATAATTGAATAAGGTATATTCATGTGAACAAAATTTCAAGCATGTTTGTTTTTGTCTGCCTGGTTCCTCTAGAATTTGGAAACTATCTGTGAGTACTCTTAGCTTATGGCAATATAGTTGTTTGCATCAGTGCAATAAGGATCCATTTTTCTTTTTCAACAGGACACAATTGGAAAATCTGGTTATTTTACCAAGGCTTTGACTGAAAGGGTATGTTTCCTTTTAAGGAATCAAGCTTGACATGCAGAGCCAATAAAAGCTCCTTGGGGAGAAGTGGCCTTGTGCACTGTCTACACAGTCCCCACACAGTGTTCTTAACCTGTGGTCAGTAAAGAATGTCACTTTCTAACAGGTCCAGGAGCTCCAAGTTTATCTTAGGACCTCAAGAGGAGAGGATCACCCAACTCACAGGTATTTGAGGATACAAACCCATGGCTGAGCTTGGCTTTAAAGGTCTTATCAGAGATTCCTTGTGGAACAGAGTTCTATCAAGGCCAATCCAAAAGGCCTATGTAGAAATAACCATTCTTGCTTTGCTGCACTTTATGCAAATAATCAGGCCAAGTATGAAACTAAAGTTTATTCTATGAACAACACACACGGTCTTATCATAATTTGTTTTTACCAAAAATGAGGACTGGAGAGAGAAATTGTTCTCCAAAGCTTACCATACATTTGTCATTAAATCCTAGTCTCATTCATTTTTTTTAAGATTTTGCCTACATTTTAGACTAACCCTGCTTATTCCTGTGAATCAAGTGGCAATCTCCTGCAGCTTGGAAGAAACAAAAAGGGATGGGTAACATAAATATCTGGATCAATATTCTAGTTCTGGGCAATTATCCTGCAAATTCTGCCAGGCAATGAAAGTGAATAGGGTGCCCATAACCCAGAGGTTTCTTTGTTTGGGAAAATAAAACCAAAGAACTTCATAGATCTCCAAAGGGAAATTCTCCAGCTGAGTCTGCTAGGACTTTTTATTGGGTTTAGTAATACATCATACCCTTTAGCTCCTACAATATCAGCCATGGCCCATTTGTAATAAGACTAATTGCTGGATCTGTCCTGAGCGGTTTGCTCAGTTCAATAACACTAAGAAACTACACTATAGTAGCAATGATCTCCAACTTATTATTTTTAAATTCCTCTGATATGGCCGCATCATCTGGAGACATCCCTAACCTAGGCTCCTTTTTAGAAAGTGCACTATCTTGGACATACCGAACAAAGAGATCTATCGTTTCCATGCCCTCATATGGAGATTTAACTGAAAGAGATGGTTGGAGAGGGCAAACACATGACGATAACATCTTAGACCATGAGTGGGGAATTCTATAACCAAAGGCCTCTTCTGGTTTGCTGGTATTCCTCTCCTTGCCATTATGATGCAACAAGGATGGAAGGCAACAGTAGGAGCCACAGAAGCACACCACCCATAGACTCTTTAGCCTCAGTAGTAGCACAGAATAGATGGGCCTTAGATGTCCTTACAGCTGAAGTAGGAGGTACCTGTGCACTTTTAAATGAAACATGCTGCTTCTGGATTAACACCTCTAGTAAAGTACAGGAAAATCTACAGGTACTTGAAGATCAAATCAAAATTATTGACAGGCTCAGGGAAAATGCAGGCTTCAGCCCCAGGTGGCTACAATCCCTCTTTAATGAATTCCAGTCTTCTTTATGGAATTGACTAACCCCTTTATTAAGCCCTCTCTTGCTTATATGTCTTGTATTAATATTTGGACCCTGTATACTCAATACTATAGCTCAAATTGTGTCCTCTAGCCTAGAAGCAATCAAACTCCAACTGGTGCTGCTGACTGAACTACGCATGGATACGCCATTCTTCTGAGGACCCTTAGACCAACCCCAGGAGGAGCCCTGACTTCTGTTCCCCATTTGATGCCCCTTTTCAAGCAGGAAGTAGCCAGAAAGAGTCATTGCCCAAAACCACCTAACAGCAGTTGGGGTGACGTCTCCACAGGGGGGAAATGTTATAGGAGTTATTAAGAAATTATCTTAGGCAGATAGAGAGCAAAAGGGGTCCTTGGGAAATTTTTGTTTCTTTTAAAGTAGCTGCAGAAATGTTTCTTGTCTAGCAGGAAAGCCCCAGCTCTTAAAGCTGGGCCAGCAATCTTTGATATGCAAATGCTGGCCATTAGAAACTGGGTCCACCCAAACATGGCGATTCCTACCGTCTTCTTCTTGCCCTTGCCTCCACATGTGCCTGGCAACATGGCCGCCCCCACATATCCCCATGTGTTAGAACATCATGGTGCCCTGCATTTGCATATTAAAAGGCTAGGGTGGGAGGGCCAGTTTATTTGTGGGCTACATGAATGATATGCCTGGTCAAACCAATCCCCTGAGCCCTATGCAAATCAGATACCACCTCCTCCAGCCTCCTCATATAAGCAGCCACTTTCTGCTGCACTTGGGGTTTTTCTCTTTGTTTGAATACACCCTCTGTCTCTGTATAGGGGGAGCTGTTTTCTTCTTCCTTCCTTCTTTCTTGCCTATTAAACTCTCTGCTCCTTAAAACCACTCCATGTGTGTCTGTGTCATTTTATCTAAATTGGCACGAGACTAAGGACCCTGATGTTCCTCCAGTCATTGGAGCTGTATCACTCCAAAAGGGCTCACTGGTGGGGCAACAGAATCTGCTTTGCAGCAAAGTCACCCTTGCAAACAAGCTAATATGGGAACCACATGTAACTTAGCCAGACTAGATCATGTAACTTCAAGAAATTGCAGTACATTACCAGCTGTGATAACTCCTGAAAATTCAAGGGAGCTCAAAGTCGACAGAGCAGGAGCATTGCCATCATGGATAAGCCCCTCATTCTAAAGTTCACCTTAATAAAAAATTGCCTAAATCCAAAGGTCATCAGCCTAATGGCTAAGGTCAGTGCAACCATAAACCACAATAACATCTCCAACCAGAAACATCCCAAACTCCTCCCCAACCACAGACATGCTAGCCCCAAGGTAAGTCCCCTCTGGTCAGGAAGATGCCAGCCTCAAGATAACCACTCTCTGGCCAGAAAGATGTCTGCTCCAAGATAACTTCCCCTCCTCCCAGAGACATTCCAACCCTGCCATAGAACTTCTCTCACACAGAAACATTCCAAGACTGTAATAAGCCCCTCACCCTAAAACCAATATATACTCTTAGTCTATAAGAAAAAGCACTCCTGACTGAAATCAGCCAGAAGCCCCTCTCAGGTTTTATCTAAAGTAAACCTGTCTCTAACTGCCAGCCACATTTAATGTTTCTTTCCTCTTTCTTTAACTCTTATAAAAGTCACAAGAAGAAATGAAAGGAATAATCAGCAGCCCTATTCAGAAGTTGGTTTCAGGACTTAATTGCTGTAGTTTGGGTTTAACTCTCCCCTCCTACTTTAGTCCCACCCTAAGCTGCATTTATAATTTTGTGACTGAGGATCATTGGTTTGTTAATGTACTGTAACATTAACTTTAGACAACTTGTTACTTTGATGTCCTGTTGGCTCAGCAATGCTCAAGATACCAATTGTTTTGACAAAATAAATTTACTAAACTTTGGCTAAAATCAAACCTTGGCATACAGGTGTGACACAACTTTAACAGGAATCATCAATTCACCCATAAATATAAGAAGGAAAAATACCCTTAGGCAGTAGCCTGCATTAGGACTGTTTGATTCTTGCAGACTTGGGGGCTGGGAGAACATCTTAAAGCATTAAAACATAGTTTCTTATGTGGCCAACCTCTACTAAGTTAAGCTTGAACTTGCTCACTCTATCCTGGATAGGCATTTAGAACCTTATACTCTTTAAATAAACCAGTCCAATCATGATGAGGTGGGATGTATCAATATACCCATTAACATTTTTGAAAGCACTCTTTGAAGTTAATTCAAGTAAATATAGCAATTTCACATTTAACGTATAGGCAATTTATTCTAAGCTAGACAAATGGGCTGGGCACGGTGTCTCACAACTGTAATCCAGCACTTTGGGAGGTCAAAGCAGGTGGATCACGAGGTCAGGAGATCAAGACCATCGTAGCTAACATAGTGAAACCACTTCTCTACTAAAAATACAAAAATTAGCCAGGCATGGTGGCATGTGCCTATAGTCCCAGCTACTCAGGAGGCTGAGGCAAGAGAATTGCTTGAACCCAGGAGGCAGAGGTTGCAGTGAGCCTAGATCATGCCACTGCACTGCAGCCTGGGTGACAGAGTGAGACTCCATCTCGAAAAAAAAAAAAAAAAAGTTTGGGGGCGATTTCATTTAATTAGCTTTTTCAATACCTGCCACAAACAAATTTGAAATGTTAGAATGGCTGACAATGGCAATGACCAGTTCTCACCACAGGCCTGGTCGGATTCTGGTCTTCAATACATGCTAGGGTTGATGTTTTCTGGTGAAAAAGAAGTATGAAAAAAAAAGGGGGAGAGGTAGGATCTGGCAAGATGGTCGAATAGAAACAGCTCTGGTCTGTGGCTCCCAGCCAGACCAATACAGAAGGCAGGTGGTTTCTGCATTTCCAACTGAGGTACCCTGTTCATCGCACTGGGACTGGTTAGGCAGTGGGTGCAGCCCATGCAGGGCAAGCAGAAGCAGGGTGAGGCATTGCCTTACCTGGGAAGTGCAAGGAACAGGGAGCCTCCCTTTCCCAGCCAAGGAAAGCCATGAGGAACTGTGCTATCCGGCACAGATACTACACATTTTCCACAGTTCTTGCAATCTGCAGATCAGGAGATTCCCTTATGTGCCTACACCACCAGGGCCCTGGGTTTCTAGCACAAAACTGGGTGGCTGTTCAGGCAGACACCAAGCTAGCTGCAGAAGTTTTTTTTTCTTACCCCAGTGGCACCTGGAACCCCAGCAAGACAAAACCATTCACTCCACTGGAAAGGCGGCTAAAGCCAGGAAACCAAATGGTGACTCTCAGTGGGTCCCACTCTCACAGAGCCCTAACATCACAATTAAAAGAACTAGAGAAGCAAGAGCAAACAAATTCAAAAGCTAGCAGAAGACAAGAAATAACTAAGATCAGAGCAGAACTGAAGGTGATAGAGACACAAAAAACCCTTCAAAAAATCAATGAACCCAGGAACTGGTTTCTTGAAAAGATTAACAAAATAGACCGCTAGCCAGACTAATGAAGAAGAAAAGAGGGAAGAGTAAAATAGACACAATAAAAATTTATAAAGGGGATATCACCACTGATCCCACAGAAATACAAACTACAATCAGAGAATACTATAAACATCTCTATACAAATAAACAAGAAAAGCTAGAAGAAATGGATAAATTCCTGTACACATACACCCTCCCAAGACTAAACCAGGTAGAAGTCATATCCATGAATAGACCAATAACAAGTTCTGAAATTGAGGCAGTAATTAATAGCCTACCAACCAAAAAAAGCCGAGGACTAGGATTCACAGCCAAATTCTACCAGAGGTACTGAGGTACAAAGAGAAGCTGGTATCATTCTTTCTGGAACTATTCCAAACAATAGAAAAAGAGAGACTCCTCCCTAACTCATTTTATGAGACCAGCATCATCCTGAAATCAAATCCTGGCAGAGACACAACAACAACAAAAATTTCAGGCCAATATCCCTGATGAACATCGATACGAAAATCCTCAATAAAATACTGGCAGACTGAATCCAGCAGCACATCAAAACACTTATCCACCACGATCAAGTTGGCTTCATCTCTGGGATGCAAGGCTGGTTCAACATACACAAATCAATAAATGTAATCCATCACATAAACAGAATCAATGACAAAACCCACATGATTTCTCAATCGATGCAGAAAAGGCCTTCGGTAAAATTCAACATCCCTTCATGCTAAAAACTCTCAACTAGGTATTCATGGAACATATCTCAAAATAATAAGAGCTATTTATGACAAACCCATAGCCAATATCATACTGAATGGACAAAAGCTGAAAGCATTCCCTTTGGAAACTGGCACAAGACAAGGATGCCCTCTCTCACCACTTCTATTCAACATAGTATTGGAAGTTCTGGACAGGGAAATCAGGCAAGACAAAAATAAAGGGTATTCAAATAGGAAGAGAGGAAGTCACATTGTCTCTGTTTGCAGATGACATGATTATATATTTAGAAAACCCCATCATCTCAGTCCAAAAACTCCTTAAGCAGATAAGCAACTTAAGCAAAGTCTCAGGATACAAAATCAATGTGGAAAAATCATAAGCATTCCTATACACCAATAATAGACAAGCAGAGAGCCAAATCATCAGTGAACTCCCATTCAAAATTGCTACAAAGAAATAAAATACCTATGAATACAACTTACAAGGGACGTGAAGGACCTCTTTGAGGAGAACTACAAACCACTCCTCAAGGAAGTAAGACAGGAAATGAACAAATGGAAAAACATTTCATGCTCATGGATAGGAAGAATCAATATCGTGAAAGTGGCCATAGTGCCCAAAGTAATTTATAAATTCAATGCTATTCCTATCAAGCTACCAGTGACTTCCTTCACAGAACTAGAAAAAACTGCTTTAAATTTCATATGGAACCAAATAAAAGCTCATATAGCCAACACAATCCTGACCAAAAAGAACAAAGCTAGAGGCAGCACTCTATCTGACTTCAAACTATACTACAAGGCTATAGTAACCAAAACAGCATGGTACTGGTACCAAAACAGACATATAGACCAATGGAACAGAACAGAGGCCTCAGAAATAACACCACCATCTACAACCATCTGATCTTTGACAAATCTGACAAAAACAAGCAATGGGGAAATGATTCCCTATTTAATAAATGGTGCTTGGAAAACTGGCTAGCCATATGCAGAAAAGAGAATCTGGACCCCTTCCTTACACCTTATACAAAAATTAACTCAAGATGGATTAAAGACTTAAACGTGGCTGGGCGCGGAGGCTCATACCTGTAATCCCAGCACTTTGGGAGGCTGATGCGGGTGGATCACCTGAGGTCAGGAGTTCAAGGCCAGCCTGACCAACATGCAGAAACCCCGTCTCTATTAAAAATACAAAATTAGCCTGGCGTGGTGGTGGATGCCTGTAATCCCTGCTACTTGGGAGGCTGAGGTAGGAGAATCCCTTGAGCCCAGGAGGCGGAGGTTGTGGGGAGCCGAGATGGCGCCATTGCACTCCAGCCTGGACAACAAGAGTGAAACTCCACCTAAAAAAAAAAAAAGACTTAAACGTAAGACCTAAAACCATAAAAACAATAGAAGAAAACCTAGGCAATAACATTCAGGACATAGGCATGGGCAAAGACTTCATGACTAAAATACCAAAAGCAATGGCAATAAAAGCCAAAACTGACAAATGGAATCCAATTAAACAAAAGAGCTTCTGCTCAGCAAAAGAAACTAGCATCAGAGTGAACAGGTAACCTGAAGAATGGGAGAAAAATCTTTGCAATCTATCCAGCTGACTAAGGTCTAATATCCAGAATCTACAAGGAATTTAAACAAATTTACAAGAAAAAAACAACCCCATCAAAAAGTGGGCAAAGGATATGAACAGACACTTCTCAAAAGAAGACATTTATGCAGCCAACAAACATGAAAAAAAGCTAATCATCACTGGTCATTAGAGAAATGCAAATCAAAATCACAATGAGATACCATCTCATGCCAGTTAGAATGGTAATCATTAAAAAGTTTGGAGACAACAGATGCTGGCAAGGATGCAGAGAAATAGGAACACTTTTACACTGTTGGTGGGAGTGTAAATTAGTTTAACCATTGTGGAAGACTGTGTGGTGATTCCTCAAGGATCTAGAACCAAAAATACCATTTGACCCAGCAATCCCATTACTGAGTATATTCCCAAAAGATTATAAGTCATTCGACTATAAAGACACATGCACATGTATGTTTACTGCAGCACTATTTACAATAGCAAAGACTTGGAGCCAACCAAATGTCCATCAATGATAGACTGGATAAAGAAAACATGGCACATATACACCATGGAATACTATGCAGCCATAAAAACAATGAGTTCATGTCCTTTGCAGGGACATGGATGAAGTTGGAAACCATCATCCTCAGCAAACTAACACAGGAACAGAAAACTAAACACTGCATTTTCTCACTCATAAGTCAGAGGTGAACAATGAGAACACATGGGCACAAGGAGGGGAACATCACACACCAGGGCCTGTCAGGGGGTGGGAATAAACGGGACGGAGAGCACTGGGACAAATATCTAATGCATGCAGTGCTTAAAACCTAGATGACAAGTTGATAGGTGCAGCAAACCACCATGGCACATGTATACCTATGTAACAAACCTGCACATTCAGCACAAGTATCCAAGAACTTAAAGTAAAATTAAAAAAAAAAAAAGGAGTATGAACAGGAAGGATTATGCAGCAGGCTTTAACTTAATGCAGATTTATATTGCTCTGTTAAAGCTGCATCGAAATGTTAAAGTGGCTTATACATGCAGACTTTGTAAATCTAAGAATAACAGAAATCGTTGAGATTACACAGGTTGTAAATATGTACTAAGCTGCACATGGTGTGTGTTGTATATAGTGCAGTTTTAGCGTATTTTAGTTACATAGGTTTCCATTGTATTTATAGTCTCTTATGCTAAATTTGGCCAAGTATGATTGTCCACTACTAAAAATACCTCTCCCACTCGGAATTCTGTAGATTTTGTGGCTAGAAACAAATCTTTACAGTGGTATAATAAGTTGGCAAAAATTTCTTAAAGTGCAATCGATTTTCAGGTGTATTGTGCCTTGTTCTAAAACTTATCAGTAGGTGCACTTGACAGTATTGAGGCCATTTGTTATGGTGCTATTTTATTTAGTATAGGTTTCGTCTCCTGTACATTTTACCCATAATGTTTTACAAAATTCTTATTTTACTGCACATTCAGAGACTTTTATATATGTATGTCTTGTGTGCATATCCCCAAACTTCCAATGTTGTTTTGTCTCTTGGAGATTGTTGAATGCAGCTTGTCAAGAAGTAGATTCTAAAATTTAATTTGGGAGCATGGAATAATAGTTGAGAAGAAAACTATTTGCACACAACAGATTTTAGATACTTTTTGCTGCTAGTTGTGTAATATTTGTTAAACATTTTTGACAAATATTTATTTTTGTAAGCTTAAAAATCATTCTTTGAAAGTTTAAAGAAACTTGACCAAAAGACAGGACAAAAAACACTGGTACTTGAATGTTGCATGTCACCATATGAGAAATAATGTATTTCGGGGTAGTGTGAGCTTTTAATGTTAAGTCTTATTAAACTTGAGTCAAATTAAGCAGATCCAGCATTGGCAATATAGCTGTAATTTTCTGAGAAAATTTAAGACAAAATTGTCAACTTGAAATTAAAACATGCCAAGGTTTTGATATACTTGTCATAAGACATTAATGAAACACTTCTAAACACTGATATGAAGTGTCCACATCCACAAAAGGTTCTCTGAGTTTTGTTTAGTTTTGCGTTTCGTTTGGTTTGGTTTTCAGTGATTGTCTGGCATATTTGCAATCCTCAAACATGGTTATTTTTGTGTATTGCCATAATCAGTAACGTTTACATTCAGTTTTATCAGCCAGCAATATTTTCAGTAAATAAAGAATGGAATTGCTGAATGTAATCATTGAACCTCTAGTCACTGTAAGTTTAGTAACTGCTTACTCTATTAGTTTTAGATGCTAGCAGTGCATGTGCTGTGTTTATTCTGATTTTACTAAAATAATAAGTTGAACAACAACAACAAAAGGAACAAACTAGGCTCTCTCTGAGGTTGTTTAGGATAAATGGGAGATTCATTTGACTTACATAAAGGAAAGAAGGGAAGAAGATTAAAGGGAAAAACAGTGCCCCACCAAAGCAGAAGTACTTTAGAAAGGAAAGCAAAGAAAAAAATCACTATTCTGAGGATTAAAAGGTGAGGAAACTAGCCCATTGGAGGCACAAAGATTCCTGCTCCAAGATGGCTGTCTAAATGCAGCCAGGAGGAACATCTCCCACTGACAGGCCAGGACTTTGAGAAGACTGGTGCACTCCTAGCAGATCTTCAGAGGGAAAGCATCGAGAGTGGATGAAGGGAAGACAAAGAGGAAGACAAAAGGGGGAGGAAGCTGGGAACCCTGTACCAAGCTACTGTGCACCAGGACTAATTCATGGCCCCTAACAACTCCTGCAGAGGGGATGAGTTGAACAGGCAAGGAACAACCTGCTCTCAGCACAGGCCTCTGGAGTCCCAGCAGGAGGACACCCCATGACCACCACAGAAACTTGGGCTGGCAGGGAAAGCTGCTTAGGGAAGTGGTAGAGGCAGAACTCCAGCCAGTATGGAGCCTAGAGGGTTTGATGTGAGAGTATCTGTAGTGGACTGTGGCCAGGGACACCCATCCACCTAGGCTTGACTTGCTCCCATAGATATTAGCCCTAGAGGAACTGTTGGGCCTGAACTCTGAAAGGCAGTCTTGCCCATGAAATGGGGCTAGTCCGACCAGAGCACTCCTTGGTCTGCTGGCCTCTCCTAGGGCCCCAGCTTAGCCGCACCTGCTTACAGTGCAGCCCCCAGGTACCTCCTGGGGTGCCACATCTATAGCTCCAGCACTGGCAGACCACACCTGACAGCAGAGTGCTCCAGCAGAGCAGCCCCAGTGGACACACCAGCTGACCTGTACCATCCCTCAACTGCAGACTCTCCCACATACCATTTTGCCTCCAGGTATTTGCCCATCCCCACCATCCAATCACTTTGCCAGCACATGTTTGCATGAGGTGACCTAGTCTTTCCTTTCCTTCCCCACCAGTTCATGTGTGTGTATGCACCTTGCCATGCCACTGCTGCTGGTGTGAGTACATTTCACCCACTCCCCACCCCTGCACCGCCACTGTCATGGGAGCATTGGTGGGCATGAAGCCCATCAGCCCCACCCCCACCAGTGCCCTGACTCTGCACTGAGGCTGCCAACACAAAACTAGGCACAGAAAACAGCTAACCCACCTCCAGCCCTGAGCAGCCACCAGTGCCAGCGTGAATGCACACAGAAGGTGCACACAGTCCTGCAACCACCAGCACCTCACCCCCATGTTAACACCACCACCGTCACAAATACTTGCACAGTCCCCAGCAGGGGCCCCTGCCCATGAGCCATACTGCCACTACTGTGGCTGCAAAAGCCCACATGGAGGCCAGCACCCCTGTGCCTGCTACCACCTTGCCATTACCAACGAGCAAGAAATCTGTTGAGTTGCTACTGCCACTGCTGCCAGCATATGCAAACAAGGACGATCCCACTGCCACCACCCTGCAAAATGCTTTGGCTGGTACCAGCCATTGGAGTATTGTGACCAGCAACTGGGAACACCTCAGCCCCTCCAGCACAGAAGGTTCCTTACCTCAAGGAGCCAGAGATCAAAGCTGGAGCCTGATATCAGTCCCCCAGAGATAGAGCGTACAGTCCAGGAGTCCCAAGTTTTCCTTGGCACCCTAAAATCTTCAAGTAATGAAGCCAGTCAACCGAATGTACGGTGTACTACAATCAAATCCCCAAGGTGATCAAATAGGATAAAAGAAAAAAAAAATCCACAAGCCAGCAACCTTAAAGACTGTAGAAACATCAGTCTACAAAGTTGAGAAAGAACCAGCACAAGAACTCTGAAGATTCAAAAAGCCAAAGTGCCTTATTTCCTCCAAATGACTACATTAGTTCTGCAACAAAGGGTTCTTAACCAGGTTGAGATGGCTGAAATGACAAAAACAGAATTCAGAATATAGATAGGAATGGAGATCATCAAGATTTAGAAGAACATTGAAACACAATCCAAAGAAGCTAAGACTCACAATAAAATAATACAGGAGCTGACAGACAAAATAGCCAGTATAGAAAAGAACATAACCCAACCTGATATTGCTGAAAAACATACTACAGGAATTTCATAATGCAATCGCAAGTATTAACAGTAGAATAGGCTAAGCAGAGGAAAATATCTCAGCGCTTAAAGACTGGCTTTCTGAAATAAGACAGTCAGACAAGAATAAAAAAAAAAAGAAAAAGGAATGAAGAAAATCTTTGAGAAATACGGGATTATGTAAAAAGACCAAATCTACAACTCATTTGTGTCCCTGAAAGAGATACGGAGAATGGAATCAACCTGGAAAACGTTATTTTAGCATATGATCCGTGAAAACTTCCCCAACCTAGCTAGATATGCCAACATCCAAATTCAAGAAATGCAGAGAACCCTCGCAAAATACTTTACCAGATCATCCACAAGACACATAATCATCAGATTCTACAAGGTTGAAATGAAAAAAAACAGGTTAAAGGCACCTAGAAAGAAAGGACAGGTCATCTACAAAGGGAAGTCCATCAGACAAACAGTGGACCTCTCAGCTGAAATCCTAAAAGCCAGAAGAGATTGTGGGCCTATATTCAACATTCTTAAAAATAAGAAATTCCAACCAAGAACTGCATATCCAGCTAAGTTAAGCTTCACAGATGAAGGAGAAGTAAGATCCTTTTCAGACAAGCAAATGCTGAAGAAATTTGTTACCACCAAACTTACCTTACAAGAACTACTAAAAGAAGTACTAAATATGGAAAGGAAAGACCATTACCAGTCACTACAAAAAAACACTTAAGTACACAGACCAGTGACATGATAAAGCAATCACACAAATAAGTCTGCAAAATAAGAAGCTAACAACATGATGACAGGATCAAATCCACACATACCTAATGCTAACCTTGAATGTAAATGAGCTAAACACCCCAAATGAATGGCACAGAGTAGCAAGTTGGATAAAGAAGCAAGACCCGAAACTATGTTATCTTCAAGAGACACAACTCACATGCAATGACACCAACAGGCTCAAAATAAAGGAAAAAAGAGAAATCTACCAAGCAAATGGAAAACAGAAAAAAAAAGCAGAGGTTGCAATCCTGATCTCATACAGACTTTAAACCAACAAGGATCAAAAAAGACAAAGACCTAACTATCCCAAATATGTATGCACCCAACAAAGGAGCACCCAGATTCATAAAGCAAGCTCTTAGAGACCTTCAAATAAATGTAGACTCCCACACAATAATAGTTGGATACATCAACACTCCAGTGACAGTACTAGACAGTATACATCAAGGCAGAAAATTCACAAAGATATGCAGGACCTGAACTCAACACTAGACCAAATGGACCTGACAGACATCTACAGAACTGTCCACCCCAAAACAACAGGATATACATTCTTCTCATGCCACATGGCACAAACTCTAAAATTGACCACACAATCAAACATAAAACAATCAGCAAATGTAAAATAACTAAAATCATTTTGACCCCTCTCTTGGACCACAGCACAATAAAAGTAGAAAACAAGACTAAGAAAATTGCTCAAAACCATACAATTATATAGAAATTAAACAACCTGCTTCTGAATGACTTTTGGGTAAATAATAAAATTAAGGCAGAAATAAAGTTCTTTGAAACTAATGAGAACAAAAATACAACATAGTGGAATCTCTGGGTCACACCTAAGGCAGTGTTAAGAGGAAAATCTACAGCACTAACACTCACATCAAAAAGTTAGAAAATCTTAAATTGACAACCTAACATCCCAAGAAGAAAAGCTAGAGAAGCAAGAACAAACTGAACCCAACGCTAGTGGAAGACAAGAAATAACCAAAATCAGAGCTGAACTGAAGATCAAGACACAAAAAACCATTAAAAAGTTTAACAAAGCCAGGAGTTTTTTATTTGAAAAAAAAAACAGTAATATAGATACACTGCTAGCTAGACTAATAAAGAAGAGAGAAGATGCAAACAGACAGAATTAGAAATGAAAAAGGGGATGTTACCACTAACCAGGATTGAATCAGTAATAAATAGCCTAAAAACCAGAAAAAAAGCCCAGGACCAGATGGACTCACAACAAATTCTACCAGATGTAAAAAGATGAGCAGATACAATTCCTACTGACACTATTCCAAAAACTTGAGGAGAAGGGACTTTTCCCCAACTCATTCTTTGAGACCAGCATCATTCTGATACCAAAACCTGGCAAAGACACAACAGAAAAGAAAACTTCAGGCCAATACCCTTAATGAACATTGATGCAAACATCCTCAACAAAATACTGGCAAATCAAATCCAGAAGCACACCAAAAAACTAATCTACCATGATCAAGTATGCTTTATCCCTGGGATGCAGTTGCTTCAACATATACTAATCAACAAATGTGATTCATCACATTAACAGAACTAAAAACAAAAACCACATGATTATCTCAGTAGATGTGGAAAATGCTTTTAACAAAATTCAACATCCTTCATGTTAAAAACTCTCAATAAACTACATATTGAAGGAACATACCTCAAAATAGTAAGTCATTTATGACAAACCCACAGCCAACATCATACTAAATGGGCAAAAGCTGGAAGCATTCCCCCTTGAAAACCTGAACAAGACAAGGATGCCCTCTCTCACCAGTCCTATTCAACATAATATTATAAGTCCTGGCAACAGCAATTAGGCAAGAGAAAAAAATGAAAGGCATGCAAATAGGAAGAGAGGAAGTTGAACTATCCCTGTTTGCAGATGAAATGATTCTACATATAGAAAACCTCATAGTCTCAGCCCAAAAGCTCCTTAACCTGACAAACAACTTCAACAAGTTTCAGGATACAAAATCAAAATACAAAAGTGACTAGCATTCCTATACACCAACAAGAGCCAAGTGGAGAGCCAAATTAAGAATGCTATTCCATTCACAACTGCCACAAAAAGAGTAAAATAACTAGGAATACAGTTAACCAGGGAGGTGAAAGATCTCTACAATGAGAATTACAAACATTACTCAAAGAAATCAGAGATGACACAAACAAAAAAAAAAAACATTTCATGCTCATGGATAGGAATAATCAATATCATTAAAATGACCACACTACCCAAAGCAATTTGCATATTCCATGCCATTTCTATAAATCTACCATTGACATTCTTCACAAAACTAGAGAAAACTATTTTAAAGTTCATACGGAACCAAAAAAGAGCACGAATAACCAAGGCAATCCTAAGCAAAAGGAGCAAAAGTGGAAGTAACGCATTAGCTGACTTCAAACTATACAACAGGTCTACAGTAACCAAAACAGCATGGTACTGGTACAAAAACAGACACATAGACACATAGACCAATGAAACAGGATAGACAGTCCAGAAATAAGGCCGCACACCCACAATCATCTGATCTTTGACAAAGCTCACAAAAACAATCAATGGAGAAAGGACTCCTCATTCAATAAATGGTGCTGGGATTACTGGCTAGCCAGATGCAGAAGACTTAAGCTGGTTCCCTTCCTTACATCATATACAAAAATCAACTCAAGATGGATTAATAAATGTAAAACCCAAAACTATAAAAACCCTCAAAAACAACCTACACAATACCAATCTGAACATAGTAACTGGTAAAGATTTCATGATAAAGACACCAAAAGCAATTGCAACAAAAGCAAAAATTGGCAAATGGAATCTAATTAAACTAAAGAGCTTCTTCACAGCAAAAGAAACTATCAACAGAGTAAGCAGACAGACTACACAAAGGGAGAAAATATTTGCAAACTATGCATCTGACAAATGCCTGATATCTAGCATCTATAAATAACTTAAACATATTTATAAGAAAAAAAGAGGCAACCCCATTAAAAAGTGCACAAAGGGGCTGACTCCTTTTTCTGAATCAGCCCGCCTGCACCCAGGTGAAATAAACAGCCTTGTTGCTCACACACACACACACACACAAAGTACACAAAGGATATGAATAGACCCTTTTCAAAAGGGCCCTACATGCGGCCGGGCGTGGTGGCTCACGCCTGTAATCCCAGCACTTTGGGAGGCCGAGGCAGGTGGATCATGAGGTCAGGAGATCGAGACCATCCTGGCTAACACAGTGAAACCCCGTCTCTACTAAAAATACAAAAAATTAGCCGGGAGCGGTGGCGGGCTCCTGTAGTCCCAGCTACTTGAGAGGCTGAGGCAGGAGAATGGCGTGAACCCAGGAGGCGGAGCTTGCAGTGAGCCGAGATCGCGCCACTGCACTCCAGCCTGGGCGACAGAGCCAGACGCTGTCTCAAAAAAAAAAAAAAAAAAAAAAGACATACATGCAGCCAACAAGCATAAGAAAAAGCTCAATATCACTGATTATAAGCAAAATGAAAATCAAAACCACAAGGATATACTATCTCACACCAGTCAGAATGGCTATTACTAAAAAGTCAAAAAATAACAGATGCTGGTGAGGTTGTAGAAAAAAGTAAACACTTCTACAATGTTGGCAGGAGTGTAAGTTTGTTCAATTGTGGAAAGCAGTGTGGAAATTCCTTAAAGAACTAAAAACAGGAGTACCATTCGACCCAGCAATCTCATTTCTGGGTATATACCACCCAAAATATAAATCATTGTATCATAAAGACACAAGTATGTGTATGTTCACTGCAGCAATATTTACAATAGCAAAGACATGGAATCAACCTAAATGCCCATCAATGGTAGACTGGATAAAGAAAATGTGGTACATATACACCATGGAATAGTATGCTGCCATAAAAATAATGAGATCATGTCCTTTGCAATTAATGATAATTGGGGCTGAATGCCATCATCCTTAGTAAACTAATGCAGGAACAGAAAACTGAATACCACATGTTCTCACGTATGAGTGGGAGCTAAATGATGAACATACATGGACACAAAGGGAAAAAAAACAGACACAGGTGCCTCCTTGAGGGTGGAGGTTGGAAGGAGGGAGAGGATCAGAAAAATATAACTATTGGGTACTAGGCTTAGTACCTGGGTGACAAAATAATCTGTACAACAAACTCCTGTTTCTTCTTTTATAGGCAAACGTGAGTTTGCCTATATAAGAAACCTGCACATGTACCTCTGAACCTAAAATAAAAGTTTAAGAAAAAAAATACAAATTAATGAGATATCATCTCACATCCATTGCAATGGCTATTATTAAAAAGTCAAAAAATAATAGATGGTGGTGAGGCTGTGGAGCAAAAGGAACTCTTATACACTGTTGGTGAGAATGTAATTTAGTTCAGCCACTGTGGAAAGCAATTTGGAGATTTCTCAAAGGACTTAAAACAGAATTACCAATTCAACATAGCAATCCCATTGGTGGGTATACACCCAAAGGAAAATAAATCATTCCACCAAAAGACATATGCACTTGTATATTTATAGCAATAGTATTCACAATAGCAAAGACACAGAATTAGCTTAAATGCCCATTAATGGTGGATTAGGTAAACAAAATGTGGTACATATATACCATGGAAAATATGTACCATAAAAAGTAATGAAATCATGTCCTCTGCAGCAACATGGACGCAGCTGGAGGTCATTATCCAAAGTGAACTGACACAAGAACAGAAAACCAAATACTCCATCTTCACATTTATCAGTAGGAGCTAAAGATTTGGGAGACATGGACACAAATGGAACAATAAACACTGGGGACTCCATAAGGGGGGAGCAGGGAGGAGTGGAAGAATTGAAAAACTACCTATTGGGTACTATGCTTACTACATGGGTGATAAGATCAATCATAACCCCAAACCTCAGTATCATGCAATATACCAGTGTAACAAACCTACATATGTACCCCTGAATCTAAAATAGAAGTTGAAATTTACAAAATAATTTAAATAAGTAAATAAAAATATTGGTGTTTCAAAAATCAAAAATAAAGTAAAATGCAAGTTTAAATGGATTTCAACACAAAGTGTAAACACATGTTTACAATAAATTTGATCTTATGAAAATATTTTCTAACACCACATGTTAAAATTTTTGTTGTTGAAACTTTCTGAGATAAAATTAAAATAAACTGTTATTGATTGAAAAAATACAGTAGAGAATATCTCATGTAAAATAATTTTAAATAAGATTACCTATAAGTATATTTAACGAGAAATATGCAAAAAGTGTGAGGAAAAATTTAAAACACAACTGGAATCCTAATAAAAATGCCAAGAATTTGCAATATCATTAAAATTGATATTTAAGTTCATATATGAAAACAAGCAAGAAAGAATACAAAAAACTGAGACAAAAAAATAATTTTTTTCCCAGTGCTAAAGTTGCTTTTATTAACCCATTAAGCAGATAGAACAAAACTTTCATTAATTGAAACCCAACCAAATTGAACCCATTTTTTTTTGTGCTGCATTCTACTTTCAATGAAAAAAAAAAAAAAGACTCAAAGGCAAGAAAACAAGATGCTGTCAGGAACTTATCCTAAAATCAACTTTTAATGTGGTAGGTATTTAGGGTCCATTAGATATGTAAACATAAAATAATTTATACCTAGGTGAGTTGAAGAAAAAATAAAATAATAAAATAAACTGAGACAATATGACTAGGGAATATCATCATCAACAATAAAACATACATGGAAGCCTCTATAATTAAAAGAGTGACATACTGGTAGATGGAAGCGCAAATAGATAAGTATAACAGAATAGAAAGTCCAAAAACAGGTCTAAGTAGATGTGAATATTTAGTAGATAATAACAGTCACATATCAAATCACTAAAGAAAATCAAATCACTAGAAAAAAATGGATTTTTATTGTTTCACTGGGACAACTGCATAGAAACTTGGAAAAAGAAAAAATAGTTCTATATCTTATAATATAAACAACACTTTATGCCAAATGATTTAGAGGTCTAACTGAAAAAAAAATGACAACATACTAAAAGAAAACATAGGTCATATCCTCTTTAAGTTTCATGTACACAAAGACATTCTAAATATGAATGAAAATTTGGAGGTCATAGCAGAAAATATTGATAAAATTGAGTAAATAAAAGAGAAACTGTTTGTATGAAAACGAAGATAAGTCAAAGGAAAACTGATAATGGGGAAAACATATTTGTAACATATCCCAAAGACAAAGGGCTAATATACATTTTATATATACATATATGTGTATATATATGTGTGACTATACATACATATGTATATATATGTGTGTGACTATACATATATACACACACACATATACTTACATATGTACATACACACACACACAAACACACAATTGAGGGGCAAAGTACCAAATACTTGAGACAAAAATAGGGGAAAGTTTATAGATAATTCACATAAATATGTAAAAATTGACCTACAACATACAAAAAATATTCAAACTTTCTTCATTCCTCACCTATCAAGCTGGAAAAATTTTAAAATACAAAAAGACATTCTGTTGGTGAGGCCAGGGGGAAAAAGCCTCTCTTACCCTTTGCTAGCAGGAATGCAAATTGTCAAAATTTTTCTAGAGATAAATTTAACAATAATACCTAATGAAGCTACATATACCCTTACATTTTAAACTAAAAATTTCATTTTAGAAATCTATCCAGAAATTAAATTTCCAACAATGTAAAAATGCAAATGATCAAGGTTATTCATTGTGGAATAGTTTCAATTGCAAAGCATTAGAAACAACCTAAATGCACACATAGGAAAGTGATTAGACATAGATTATACATACATACAGTGGAGTACTATGTGGTCATAAAAGAGAATGGGTAATTTCCAGCTTCTGTTTGGCATGTAAGGAGCTTGGAGGTTGTCACTTCACCTTAACAACAAGTTACAGGCTGATCAAACTGAAAAGCAAGCAACTCTTTTTAACTGTCAGAAAAGTGAAATCAAAGGGAAAATTACTGTCCCCCAAATCAGAGAGACAGACAGATGAATACAGAGAATCATAATTTACTGGAGCAAAAACCTCAAAGCAGAACCTCAACATGTACCAGTACCAGGGTAGAAAAACCTGAACTGTAATTGAGAAATTACTGGAGGCTTCGAGTGGACAAGTCTGGGAGTAAAAAACTCTGGAGATATGTCTAATAATGGGGAAACACAGACGAGTTTTACCTGACAGATTCTCACAGTGAATATTGGGAAAAAATCATCCCATGCTTCTGAAAAGGAGAGGAAAAAGGAAACCATTTTTAAATATGCCAGAGCATTTTATTTTTCTTAATAAGGCCTGCCCTAAAGAGAAACTATCTTACCAGAGCCTAAACTTTTAGCATTTTATCAGAGTCTAACTGACCTGGGAGAAGAAAATACCCAAATCTAGCCCCTTGGAGGCTTCCACATAAGGAAAGAAAAAAAATCAAACTCAGTATTACTCTAGCCATCCTATCTCAGGGGAGAAAGGATTGAGAAGCATTGGTGAGGTTCACATTTTAGAAGCACAGGCTAAGACCTAATTTATAGAACCATGGACCACTTCCCTTCCCCCCACGCTTTACCATCAAATCACTGAAAAAACACTTACCAGGGTTCTTTTTATCCAGTACCTTCTGTCTAGCTGTTAAAAAAAGTTACATGGTATAATAAAGGTCAAAATACATAATTTAAAGAGACAGAGCAAGCATCAAAACCACACTCAGATATGGAAGTGATGTCGGAATTGTATGATCAGAAATTTAAAACAATTATTATTAATAATCTATACACCAACAATCTCCAAGCTGAGAGCCAAATCAAGAAAACAATCCCATTCACAACAGCTACAAAAGAATAAAATGGCTAGGAATACAGCTAACCAGGGAGGTTAAAGATCTCTACAAGGAGAACTACAAAATACTGCTGAAGCAAATCAGAGATGACACAAAGAAATGGTAAAACATTCCATGCTTGGGATATGAAATGGTAAAACATTCCACGTTTGACACCCGTCAGAAAGGCTATTAAAAAAAAACACAGATGCTTGTGAGGTTGCAGAGAAATGAGGATGCTTATACACTGCTGGTGGGAATGTAAATTAGTTCAGTTATTGTAGAAAGCAGTCTAGAGATTTATCAAATACCTTAAAATGGAACTATCATTTGGCCCAGCAATCCCATTATTGGGCATATACACAAAGGAATATAAACTGTTCTACCATAAAGACACATGAATGTGTATGTTCCTCATAGCACTATTCACAACCACAAAGACATGAATTCAACCTAGATGCCTAACAATGTTGACAGGATAAAAAAAATGTGGTACGTATACACCATGGCATACCACACAGCCATAAAAAAGAACAAGAGCATGCCCTTCGCAGCAACATGAATGGAACTGGAGCTCATTATCCTAAGCAAACTAATGCAGGAGCAAAAAATCAAATAGCACATGTTCTCAATTATAAGTGGGAGCTAAACATTGAGTACATACGAATACAAAGAAGAGAACAAGAGACACCAGCACCTACTTGAGAGTGGAGGGTGGGAGAAGGCTGTGGATTAAAAACTGCCTATCAGGTACTATGCTTATTACTTGGGTAATGAAACAATGTGTACTCTCAACCTCCATGATGTGCAATTTACCTATATAACAATCCTGCACATGTATCCCTGTACCTAAAATACAATTTTTTTAGAAAAGCCTTTGAGAAATATGGGATTATGCAGGGTGATCTAACCTTCAATTCATTAGCATTCCTGAGAGAGAAGAGGAGAAAGTAAACAACTTGGAAAACATATTTGAGAATATAACCCAGGAAAATTTCCCCAGTCTTACTAGAGAGGTCCACATGCAGATAAAAGAAACACAGAGAACTCCTGCGAGATACTATACAAGATGACTATCCCTAAGGCACATAGTCATCAGTTTCCAAGGTCAGCACAAAATAAAAAATCTTAAAGGCAGCTAAAGAGTCATATTACCTGTAAAGGGAATCCCAACAGACTAACAGTGGACTTCTCAGCAGAAACCATATAAGCCAGAAGAGATTAGGGGCCTATTTTCAACATTCTTGAAGAAAAGAAATTCCAGCCAAGAATTTCATATCCTGCTAAACTAAGCTTCATAAACAAAGGAGAAATAAAATCTTTGCCAGATGAGCAATCACTAAGAGAATTCATCACAACAAGACTGGCCCTACAAGAGATGCTTAAGGGAATTCTAAACATGGTAACGAAAGAATAATACTTGTTACCACAAAAGCACACATAAGAACATAGCCCACAGACCCCATAAAGCAACTACACAATCAAGACCACAAAGCAACTAGCTAAGAATACCACAACAAGAAAAAAACCTTACATATCAATATGAAGCTTGAGTGTAAATGACCTAAATCCTCCACTTAAAAGTCATAAAGTGGCAAATTAGATAAGAAAACAAGACTCAAACTTCTGCTGTGTTCAAGAGACATATGTCACATGTAATGACACCTAGAGGCACAGTTTAAAGGGATAGAGAAAGATCTATCATGCAAATAGAAATTAAAAAAACAGCAGGGGTTATTATTTTTGTATCACATAAAACAGACTTTAAATCAACAACAGTAAAAAAGGACAAAGAACAGCATTACATAATGATAAAGTGTGTGATTCAAGATTTAACTTCCTGAGACCAGCTCAGCTGGGGAGACCCTAACCCAGCAGCGCTAGAGGAATTAAAGACACACACACAGAAATATAGAAGTTGGAGTGGGAAATCAGGGGTCTCACAGCCTTCAGAGCTGAGAGCCTCAAACAGAGATTTACCCATGTATTTATTAACAGTAAGCCAGTGATAAGCATTGTTTCTATAGATTATAGATTAACTAAAAGTATTTCTTATGGGAAACAATGGGATGAGCCAAAATAAAGGGATGGGTCTGGCTAGTTACCTGCAGCAGGAGCATGTCCTTAAAGCACAGATCGCTCATGCTATTGTTTGTGGTTTAAGAACACCTTTAAGCGGTTTTCCACCCTGGGTGGGCCAGGTGTTTCTCACCCTCATTCCGGTAAACCCACAACCTTCCAGCGTGGGCATCACGGCCATCATGAACATGTCACAGTGCTGCAGAGATTTTGTTTATGGCCAGTTTTGGGGCCAGTTTATGGCCAGATTTTGGGGGGCCTGTTCCCAACATAACTATCCTAAATATATACGCGCCCAACATTGGAGCACCCAGATTTATAAAACAATCACTACTAATATTAGGAAAAGACTTAGACAGCCACACAGTAACTATGGGGGACTTCCATACCCCACTGAAAGCATTACAGAGATCATCAAGACAGAAAACTAACAAATTCTGGACTTAAATTTGACACTTGACCAGTTGGGCCTAATATACATTTACAGAATATTCCACCCAACAACCAGAGAATATACATTCTTCTCATTTCCACATGTAACATACTCTAAGATTGACCACATATGCAGTCAAAAGGCAAGTCTCAGCAAATTTAAAAATATCAAAATCATAGCAAGCATCTTCTCAGATCACAGTGGAATAAAAATATAAATCAATACTGACGGGAACTGTCAAAACCATACAGATACATGAAAACTAAATAACTTGCTCCTGAATGACTGTAGGATAAATAACAAAATTAAGGCAGAAATCAAAAAATATCTTTGAAACAAATGATAATAGAGACACAACACACCAAAACCCCAAGGATGTGGCAAAAGTATAGTGCTTACTGTCTACATCAAGAAGATAGAAAGATCTCAAATTAACAACCTAATGTAACACCTAAAGGGACGAGAAACTCAGAAAAGCACTAAACTCAAAGCTAGCAGGAGAAAAGAAATAACTAAAATCAGAGCAGAACTAAATAAAATGGATAGCAAAATAAATAAATAAATCAACAAAATAAAAATTTTGTTCTTTGAAAGGATAGAAAAGATTAATAGGCTGCTAGCTAGATTTCTTTTTAATTGTTTCATTTGGGAAAAGCACTTCTTACAAAAGGGAAGCTCCAAAATACAGAGACCTCTGCAACAATTATTTGTTTTTCGTAAAGTGAAAGAATGGGTGGGATCCAAGGAATCAAAGCAGTAGATGGACAAACCAGGAGCATCCCTGAATCATTTTCAGGAAACAGAGTGACAAAACATAGAAGTAAAATTTCCAATCAACGAATTACTCCAACAACTTAACCTTAGCTGGTCTTACGGATTCCCTTCAATGGAAAAGTATGACTTATTACTGCAAACCCATTACTCCACTACAATAAACACCTTAGAACAGAGTTTAGAATCACATCTGTCTACCTGAAAGTTCAGGGGTGGAATAAGGCAAATACCCACAAAAGCAAACACAAAAATACGACAACAAAATGCCCCAAATGAGGACAAAGGTTTTTCAGAAAATGCCTGTACTGGAAAGGCTAGATCGTAAAACATTAAATACAACTGTGTATCCAAGACCCAGTTTTTGTTAATATATAGGATAAACAGGTAGTTTTAACCTTTATGGCTAACCCTATTTATCTATATGTAGACAGAGCTAGCACTGCTATACTGACAACTACCAATATACTGCTTTGTCCTTTAAGATCTATCTGCCACACAAGGCTTAAACCACTAAACCAAGTTTTTCTACTAAGGCTAAGAATACTGCATCTATGCAGGGATGAGAAGCTTATCACACACCCACACTCACACACACCATGTCAGCCCTTGGGAGTCAACTTCCAACTTTCCATTGACATTACGCCTCTATACCTTATATATGTATTCTTTCTCAATTTTCCTATCATGCAAAACAGTAGAAATCTCAACACATTCACACCTGGTTCTGGTTACCCAGTAGTATTACTTGTGTGCAATTAAACAAGAGACCAAAACCACAGAACAAGTGCATGTGGTAGGGATTACAGGGTAGGGAACAGATACAAAAACACAGATGTGCAGATTTCACCAGAAACCTCAAGGATCTATGTCCCATGTCTGGAGCAAAAGGCTATTGGCCACTTAGGTCCCTTCACCCATCCCTCCTATTCTTGGATCCCAAAGTAGGGCCACTGCTTTTACTTTTGAACCTGGGGTCCTCAAAATGAGTGTGTGAAAAGTCCGTAAACACAATCTGGTTGAAAACATATGATGCAACACATCTACACTGTCTGACAGCTAAATTTGTGTTACAAAAAACTAAGAATTATTTTTGTAACTTTTTTCAACAGGGAAAACAACACACTCCTCGGGGAAAGGTGAGGGGTTGAGAAGACAGACAGGCCCTGGGTAGAAATTCTTACGACAGCACCTGCAGTTGACAGGCTTGCCTCAGAGAGAAGACAGGCACTGCCACACCACCACAGGGGACAGCTGCTGTCTGGGGTTAGCAGACCAGATCACATGCCACACAAGGTTGCTATAGATCCAAGTTATAAAAAATCTTCCAGCTCATCATGAAACAATTCCCACTGATCTTCAGTCTGTCAGTTTGCCGTCCCCACCTGAAGCCAAAAGCATAAGCAACATCTTACCCAGCTCCAAGATGACAACCTCTTCTTTGCTGTCAAAGGGGTTGCTGTTCTCTCTTTCTTCAATTAGTTCCCAGAAGTGGTTCCTTTGTTGGGCCCCATATCTGCTTAATGTTCCCACTTTCTGTCTCCGTGGCTCCTCTCTCCTCCTCTTTACGCATGCTTGTAAAAGCAGTTCCCTCCAAATGGGCAGCTCCCATGTCCTTCATCAAAATACGTGCACGCCTTGTTGCTCATTGTCTCTTTGTATTTCTGAACGAGTTTCTGCTTCTCTTCTTTCTCCTCAACCCAGTACTCACTTGGAATGACTAAGTTAGATGTGATCTGGCATTCTGGGCAGGACTTTATGATCTTGCTCTCAAATTGCTTAGCCCTCCTCCACGTGCAAATGCACTTGAGACAGTAGGTGTGGTTGCAGATGAAGAAGACCACAAAGCAGCGCTAGCTGGGGTTGGCTTTCTCATAGACCACCTCCATGCAGATCCCACACACCATGTCCTTGCCGCGCTGCACAGCAAATGAGAGCTCTATGTCCTTCTCATGGGACTCAATGCACGATTTTATACGCTGTGATCTCTGGGCAGTATCCATCGGATGCAGGACCTGTGGCCCATACATGTCACATGAATCTCCGTGGAGATACACACAGTTCTCCCCATATCAGCACTCTCCCACTGCAGCAAAGGGGCACAGCTGCTTCTTTGTTTCCATGGCAATTTGCTTTTTCTCTGATTCTTCCTTGGTCACTGGGCCCTGCAAGGGTGCTTCAGTGAAGGAAGGTACCGTAGGACCACAGTAGGGCTGCCCAGGAACAAACTCAATAGCATTCACCCAGTCCCCTGAACCTGCTCCTACAGTTGCAAAGTTTGAATTTCTTGACTCAGCTTCGCTTGTATTCATTTCAACTATCGATGAGAGACTTGAGGAAGCAGCAATGGATGACTTTGTAGTTAGCTCTGCAGCAGTTCCTTCTTCCTGGTTCAATGGCTTGCTATGTTCATATTTGCAGCGGTCACCATAAACACAGTACCCTTGCTGAAAATACTTGCACACTACACCATACGGACTGTCAGAGAGGTCATGCGAGAATCCACAGTTACCTCTGTCCTTACAAACCCCATGCATAAAATACCTGCAGGTGACCTGTTTAGTCCAGCTGCGCCGCCACTGCCGTGGCTGCCCAGCCGTCACTGCCGTCGCTGCTGCTGCTGCCGTCGCTGCCACCGCCCCCTCCGTCTGCCCCAGGGGATGGGGTGGTGACTGTGGGGACCAGGTTTGGGGAGGCCGCTGCTGCTGCCGCCGCAACTGCCGCTCCTACTCCTAATGTTGTGGCTGTTGTTCCGGGAGCTGCAGCCTCGCCATTGCTGGTTATCCCACACAGCAAAGCCCCGGAACTTCCGGGATTATATAGTTCCTGTCTGGCTGCTGGGAGAAGACCACGAGGCCAGGCGAGGGGAGGGGAAGGAGACTGAGGCACCCGCTCGGTCCCTGCCACCTCCGACCTAGCTAGAAGTTTTTGTTGTTGATGTTGTTTTGTTTTTTGGGGTTTTTTGTTTTTTGTTTGTTTGTTTTTGGTGCAGAGTCTCGCACTGTCGCCCAGTCTGGAGTACAGTGGTGCGATCTCGGCTCACTGCAACCTCCGCCTACAGAGTTCAAGCAATTCTTCCTGCCTCAGCCTCCCGAGTAGCTGGGATTACAAGCGCCTGCCACCACACCCAGCTAATTTTTGTATTTTTTAGTAGAGACGGGTTTCGCCATGTTGGCCAGGCTGGTCTCGAACTCCTGACCTCGGGTGATCCACCAGCCTCTGCCTCCCAAAGTGCTGGGATTAAGGCGTGAGCCACTGTGCCTGGCCCACCCTAGTTAGATTTTCAAAAAAGAGAGAGAAGTTCTGGCATGGTGGCTCACGCCTGTAATCCCAACACTTTGGGAGGTCGAGGCTGGCGGATCACTTGAGGTCAGGAGTTCGAGACCACCCTGGCCAACATGGTAAAACCCTGTCTCTACTAAAAATACAAAAATTAGCTGGGCATGGTAGCATGGGCCTGTAATCCTAGCTACTCCGGAGGCTGAGGCAGGAGAATCACTTGAACCCAGGAGGTGGAGGTTGCAGTGAGCCGAGATCGCGCCACTGCACTCCAGGCTGGGCAACAGAGTGAGACTCCGTCTCAAAAGTGAAATAAAATAAGAGAAAAGATGCAAGTAAGTATAATCAGAAATGACAAAGGTGACATTACAACTAATCCTGCAGAAATACAGAAAAGCCTCAGAGACTACTGTGAATATTTCTATACACGCAAACTAGAAAATCTAAGGGAAATGCCAAAATTCCTAGAAAGACAAAACCTCCCAAGATTGAAGCAGGAAGAAATAGAATTCCTGAACAGACTAACAGTTACTTACAAAATTGAATCAGTAATAAAAAACCTACCATCAAAAAAAAAAAAAAAAAAAATCTCTGGACCAGATGCTTTCACAGCTGAATTCTACCACATACAAAGAAGAGCTGGTACTAATCCTACTGAAACTGTTTTAAAAATTTGAGCAGGGATTCCTTCCTAACTCATTCTGTGAAACCAATATCATTCTGATACGAAAATCTGACAAAGACATACACAAAAAGAAAATGATAGAACAATATCCCTGATGAAAAATCAAGAAGAAAGGGAAGCAGAAAGAAAGAAAAGGCATCCAAATAGGAAGAGATGAAGACAAATAATCTCTCTTCTCTGATGATATGTATCTATACCTAGAAAACCTTAAAGATTCCTCCAAGCCTCCTAGACTTGACAAACAATTAAGTTTCAGGATACAAAATAAATGTACAAATGTTAATAGCGTTTCTATACAACAATAACATTCAAGCTGAAAACCAAATCAAAAATGCTAAAAGCCTCAGAAAATACTTACAAACTGAATTGAGCAGCACATCAAAGAGATAACCTGCCATAATCAAGTAGGATTTATTCCTGAGATGAAAAGATGGTTCAACATATGCAGATCAGTAAATATGATTCACCACAAAGAAAATTCAAAACAAAAACTAAATTATCATCTCAATAGATATAGGAAAAGCATTCAATGAAATCCAATTTTCTTTCATTTAAAAAAACAAAAAACAAAAAACTCTCAACAAGCTAGGCATCAAAGGAACATACCTCAAAACAATAAGAGCCATCTATGAAAAAGCCAAAGCCTACATCATACTGGATGGACAAAAGCTGGAATCATTCCCCTCAAGAGGTGAAATAATACAAGAATGTCTCACCACTCCTTTTCAACATAGTGCTGAAAGTCCTAGCCAGAGAAATCAGGCAAGAGAAAGACATAAAAGGCATCCAAAGAGGGAGTCAAATTTTCTCTCTTCACTGATGACATAATTTTATACCTAGAAAACCTTAAAGGTTTCTCCAAAGGACTCATATACCTGACAAACGACTTTAGCCAAGTTTAAGTATATAAAATCAATGTACAAAAATTAGTAGCATTCCTACACACAATGACATTCAAGCTGAAAACCAAATAAAAATGCAATCCCATTTAAAACGACCACAAAAATATCTAAACATATATCTAACTGATAAGATGAAAAATCTCTAAGGAGAACTACCAAATACTGCTGAATGAAATCAGAGATGATACAAATGGAAAAATATTCCATGCTCATGAATAGGAAGAATCAATATCATTAAAATGTCCATACTGACCAAAGCAATCTAGAGAGTCAATGCAAATCCTATCAAGCTACCAAGTCTTTTTTCACAGAATCAGAAAAAAAGACTATTCTAAAACTCATACGAATTTAAAAAGAACCCAAATAACCAAAGCAGTCCTAAGCAGAAAGAACAAAGCTGGAGGCATCACATTACCTGACTTCAAACTATACTACAAGGCTACAGTAAGCAAAATATCATGGGACTGGTACAAAAATAGATGCATGGACCAATGGAATGAATAGAGAATGCAGAAATAAGGCCACACACCTACAACCAAATGATGTTTGACAAAGCTGACAAAAACAAGCAATGGGGAAAGGACATCCTGTTTAATAAATGGTGCTGGGAAACATAACTAGTCATATGCAGAAGAATGAAAGTTGATTCCTACTTCTCACCATATACAAAAATTAACTCAACATGGATTAAAGACTTGAATGTAAGACCTCAAACTAAGACAGTCCTAGAATAAAACTTAGGAAATACTCTTCTAGATATTGACGTAGGCAAAGAATTTATTACTAAGTCCTCAAAAGCAAATGTAACACAAACGAAAACTGACAAGACCAAATTAAACTAGAGAGCTTCTGCAAAGCAAGAGAAACTCTCAACAGAGTAAACAAACACCCTACTAAATGGGAAGAAAATGTTTGAAAACTTTGTAATTGACAAAGGACTGAAACCCAGAACGTATAAGAAACAGAAACAAGTCAACAAGCAAAAACAACCCCATTAAAAAGTAGGCAAGAAAGCAAGGCTACCGCCTCTCCCCTCTCCCCTCTCCCCTCTCCCCTCTCCCCTCTCCCTTCTCCCCTCTCCCCTCTCCCTCTCGGTCTCCCTCTCCCTCTTTCCACGGTCTCCCTCTGATGCCGAGCCGAAGCTGGACTGTACTGCTGCCATCTCGGCTCACTGCAACCTCCCTGCCTGATTCTCCTGCCTCAGCCTGCCGAGTGCCTGCGATTGCAGGCGCGCACCACCACGCCTGACTGGTTTTCGTACTTTTTTGGTGGAGACGGGGTTTCGCTGTGTTGGCCGGGCTGGTCTCCAGCTCCTAACCGTGAGTGATCCGCCAGCCTCGGCCTCCCGAGGTGCCGGGATTGCAGACGGAGTCTGGTTCACTCAGTGCTCAATGTTGCCCAGGCTGGAGTGCAGTGGCGTGATCTCAGCTCGCTACAACCTCCATCTCCCAGCCGCCTGCCTTGGCCTCCCAAAGTGCCGATATTGCAGCCTCTGCCCGGCCGCCACCCCGTCTGGGAAGTGAGGAGCGTCTCTGCCTGGCCGCTCATCGTCTGGGACGTGAGGAGCCCCTCTGCCTGGCTGCCCAGTCTGGAAAGTGAGGAGCGTCTCTGCCCGGCCGCCATCCCATCTAGGAAGTGAGGAGCGCCTCTTCCCTGCAGCCATCCCATCTGGGAAGTGAGGAGCGTCTCTGCCCGGCCGCCCATCGTCTGGGATGTGGGGAGCGCCTCTGCCCCGCCGCCCCGTCTGGGATGTGAGGAGCGCCTCTGCCCGGCTGTGACCCCGTCTGGGAGGTGAGGAGCGTCTCTGCCCAGCCGCCCCGTCTGAGAAGTGAGGAGACCCTCCGCCCAGCAACCGCCCTGTCTGAGAAGTGAGGAGCCCCTCCGCCCGGCAGCCACCCCGTCTGAGAAGTGAGGAGCCCCTCTGCCCGGCAGCCACCCCGTCTGGGAAGTGAGGAGCGTCTCCGCCCGGCAGCCGCCCCGTCCGGGAGGGAGGTGGGGAGGTCAGCCCCCTGTCCGGGAGGGAGGTGGGGGGGGTCAGCCCCCCACCCGGCCAGCCGCCCCGTCCGGGAGGTGAGGGGCGCCTCTGCCCAGCCGCCCCTACTGGGAAGTGAGGAGCCCCTCTGCCGGGCCAGCCACCCCGTCCGGGAGGGAGGTGGGGGGCTCAGCCCCCCGCCCGGCCAGCCGCCCCCTCCGGGAGGGAGGTGGGGGGGTCAGCCCCCCACCCGGCCAGCCGCCCCATCCGGGAGGTGAGGGGCGCCTCTGCCCAGCGCCCCTACTGGGAAGTGAGGAGCCCCTCTGCCGGGCCAGCCACCCCGTCCGGGAGGGAGGTGGGGGGCTCAGCCCCCCGCCTGGCCAGCCGCCCCGTCCGGGAGGGAGGTGCGGGGATCAGCACCCCACCCGGCCAGCCGCCCCGTCCGGGAGGGAGGTGGGGGGGGTCAGCCCCCCGCCCGGCCAGCCGCACTGTCCGGGAGGGAGGTGGGGGGGTCAGCCCCCCGCCCGGCCAGCCACCCCGTCCGGGAGGTGAGGGGCGCCTCTGCCCAGCCGCCCCTACTGGGAAGTGAGGAGCCCCTCTGCCCGGCCAGCCGCCCCGTCTGGGAGGGAGGTGGGGGGGTCAGCCCCCCGCCCGGCCAGACGCCCCGTCCGGGAGGGAGGTGGGGGGGTCAGCCCCCCGCCCGGCCAGCCGCCCCGTCTGGGAGGGAGGTGGGGGGGTCAGCCCCCCGCCCGGCCAGCCGCCCTGTCCGGGAGGGAGGTGGGGGGGGTCAGCCCCCCGCCCGGCCAGCCGCCCCGTCCGGGAGGTGAGGGGCGCCTCTGCCCGGCCGCCCCTACTAGGAAGTGAGGCGCCCCTCTGCCCGGCCAGCCGCTCCGTCCGGGAGGGAGGTGGGGGGGGTCAGCCCCCCGCCCGGCCAGCCGCCCCGTCCGGGAGGTGAGGGGCGCCTCTGCCCGGCCGCCCCTTCTGGGAAGTGAGGAGCCCCTCTGCCCGGCCACCACCCCGTCTGGGAGGTGTACCCAACAGCTCATTGAGAACAGGCCGGGATGACAATGGCGGTTTTGTGGAATAGAAAGGGGGGAAAGGTGGGGAAAAGATTGAGAAATCGGATGGTTGCCGTGTCTGTGTAGAAAGAAGTAGACATGGGAGACTTTTCATTTTGTTCTGTACTAAAATAAATTCTTCTGCATTGGGATCCTGTTGATCGGTGACCTTACCCCCAACCCTGTGCTCTCTGAAACATGTGCTGTGTCCACTCAGGGTTAAATGGATTAAGGGCGGTGCAAGATGTGCTTTGTTAAACAGATGCTTGAAGGCAGCATGCTTGTTAAGAATCATCACCACTCCCTAATCTCAAGTACCCAGGGACACAAACACTGCGGAAGGCCGCAGGGTCCTCTGCCTAGGAAAACCAGAGACCTTTGTTCACTTGTTTATCTGCCGACCTTCCCTCCACTATTGTCCTATGACCCTGCCAAATCCCCCTCTGCGAGAAACACCCAAGAATGATCAATAAAAAAAAATAAAAATTAAAAAAAAAAAAAGTAGGCAAAAGTCATGAACAGACATTTCTTAAAGGAAGGCATACATGCAGCCATCAAATGTATTTTAAAAAATGCTCAACATCACTAATACCAGAGAAATGTAAATCAAAACCACAATGAGATACTATTTCATATAGGTCAGATTGGCTATTAATAAAAAGTCAAAAAGTAAAAGATGTTGGCAAAGTTGCAGAGAAAAGGGAATGCTTATACACTGTTAGTGGGATGGTAAATTGGTTTAGCTCCTGTGGAAAGCAGTTTTGAGATTTCTCAAAGAAATAAAAATAGAATTACCATTCTACCCAGCAATCTCATTACTAGGTATATACATGATATCATTTGGATATTTGTCCCTTCCAAATTTTTTACTGAAATACGACCACCACCCCCCACCCAATGTTGGAGTTAAGGGCTGGTGGGAGGTGTGTTGGTCATGATGGCAGATCTCTCATGAATGTCTACGTGTCCCCCTCATGGTTGTGGGTAAATTCTTGCTCTGTTGGTTCATATGAGAGCTGGTGGTTGAAAAAAGCCTAGCATTTCTTTGGCTCTCTCTCTTGCTTCCTCTCTCACCATGTGATGCACCTTTTTCCCCTTCACCTTTTGCCATGATTTTAAGCTTCCTGAGGCCCTCACCAGAGCAGATCATGGCTCCATTCTTCTTGTAGTCTGTAGAATTATTAGCCAAAATAAACCTATTTTCCTTATAAGTTACCCAGGCTCAGGTATTCCTTTACAGCAATGCAAAATGAAATAATACATATCCAAATGAAATAAATTGTTTTACCAATAAGACACATGCACTTGTGTGTTTATCGCAGCACTGTTCACAATAGCAGAGATATGGAATCAACCTAGGTGCCCATCAGTGGTGGATTGGATAAAGAAAGTATGGTACATATATATCATGGAATCCTATGCAGCCATAAAAAAGAATGAAATTATGTCCTTTGCAGCAACATGGATGCAGTTAGAGGTCATTATCCTAACTGAATTAATACAAAAATAGGAAACCAAATATTGTATGTTCTTTCTCTCTCTCTTTTTTTTTTTTTTTTTTTTTGAGACAGAGTTTCACTCTGTCACCAGGCTGGAGTGCAGTGGCATGATCTCGGCTCACTGCAACCTCTGCCTCATGGGTTTAAGTGATTCTTCTGCCTCAGCCTCCCAAGTAGCTGGGGTTAGAGGCAAGCGCCACCACACCCAGCTAATTTTTGTATTTTTAGTAGAGATGGCTTTTCACCATGTTGGCCAGGATGGCCTCAATCTCTTGACCTTGTGATCTGCCCACCTTGGCCTTCCAAAGTGCTGGGATTACAGGCTTGAGCCACCATGCCCAGCCTTATGTTCTCTCTTATAAGTGGGAATTAACCACTGGGTACACATAGATATAAAGGTGGGACCAATAGGCACTGGAGACTCCAAAAGAGGGGAAGGAGGGTTGAAAAACTATTTATTGGGTTCTATATTTACTATCTGGGTGATAGGATCAATTGAAGCCTAAACCTCAGCATCATACAATATATCCATGTTAACAAACTGCATATGTATCCCCTGAATCTAAAATTTTATTTTTAAAATGAAGCTCCTTCCAGGTGTGGTGTCATGTGCCTGTAGTCCCAGCTAAGGCTTAAATGAGAAGATCACTTGAGCATAGGAGTTTGAGGCCAGCCTAGGCAACACATCAAGACTCCATGTCAGAAAATAAAATGCAACTCCCTGTTTCTCCCTGGAAGACGTTTGTGCCACTAATCAAGTGTCACAACTTTTACAGCGCCCTCCCAAAGAACCCAGTCCTAAACTTCTTAGCTCTGGGAGGAGAAAGCACTAGGCATACATGAGTCTCCTTAGATGACAGAACAAAGACGTGGTCTTAACAGGTATGCAAACATGTTTACAAATGATGCCCCCTTTGAGTAGTGTGAAAAAGGGGCAGGAATATGCAGCTCCCATTTTCTCTCCACAAGGGGTGTATGGCACACACTCCCAGTGGCTACTTGACAGCTTGAGTTCTAATAAACTTGCACTGGGGAGCCAATGGGGCAAACAAACAATAGCCCACTGGCAGCTGCAGCCAGAGCTTGGCAGTTCCTAAGCCTTTTCTCTGGCTCATCCCAGGCCTAACATTCTTCCTGGAAGAAGTTTGGCCATGCACTGTGTGCCACAACTTCTATACTCACACCCAAGAGGCTACCTTCTTAACAAACTCTCTCTGAGAGTTAATGAAGCTTTGCATTCCTTAGTGACCCTAGACAACAAAAAGCAAACAGATGGACATACGATGGGTTCACATCCAGCAGCTATCTCCTTAGGATCAGAGGGTGCAGCCTGAACATGAATACGAATTTTGCCACACATCCACTACCTGGCTTAGTGCAGACAGAGTGGGAGATTAACATCCATGCTCAGCTTCACCGTAAAGATACAAGTAACTGAAACATAGAGCCAATACTCACACCATTTTATCGACATCTAGAGACTCTGGCTCCTATCTTTCTGGACTTAAAGTACTGACAGGGTATGGCATATCCTAAGCTCCAGGTGGGCACCAAAAACAAAGACAGCAGCCTGGATAAACACAAAGATTTAAGAAGCACCTTAAAATCTTTGGCTGGATGGATTGGCAATGCCCTTCTCCTATATGGAGCCAGTCCGACAAGACTGGGAGACATAGTGGTATTAGCTAATGCACAGCAACCAACATGGAAAGTCAAGAAATATTTTAAAACAGGGGAATATGGTCCAAACAAAGGAACTAAATAAATCTCCAGAAACCAACCTGAGTAAAGTAATGTTATTTACTTGACAGAGAACTCAAAATAATGGCCATAAAGATGCTCACCAAAGTCAACAGAGCAATACAAGAACAAATTAAGAACTTCCACAAATAGAAAGCAGAGAAGAGTACCAAACAGAAATCATAAATCTGGAGGAATATTATGAATAAACTGAAAACTGCAGTAGAAGGGGCTCAACAGCAGACTACATCAATAAGAAGAAAGGATCAGTGAACTCAAAGACAGGTCACTGAAAATCATCCAATCTGAGGGAAAAAAGGAAAAAGAGTGAAAAACAGTGAAGAAAGCTTAAGGGACTTATGGGAAACCATCAAGCCGAACAACTTATGCATCACTGATATGCCAGAAGGAGAGGCGAGAAAGGGATGGAAAACATATTCAAAGAAATAATGGCAGAAAACATCACAAGCCTGGAAAAGGAAATAGAAAGCCAGAATCTGAAATCTCAAAGGACACCAAATAAGATGAATCTAAGGACACTCACACCAAAACACAGCATAATGAAATTATCAAAAGTTAAAGACAAAGAGAGAGTGCTGAAAACAGCAAAGGAAAAGTGAATCATTACATGTAAGCAAACAACTATAAGACTATCAGTGAATTTCTTAGCAGAAACATTGCAGGCCAGAAAGGAGTGGGATGATATATTTAAAAAGCTTAAAGAAAAAAAAAACTGTCAACGAAGAATACTATTACCAGCAATCTTGTCTTTTAAAAACCAAGAGGTGATAAAGACTTTCTCAATCAAAATCTGAGAGAGTTTATCACTACTAGACCTGCCTTACAAGAAATGTTAAAGGGGGTTCTTAAGGCTGAAGGAAGAAGACCCTAATTATTAATATGAAAACATATGAAAGCATAAGACCCACTGGTAAAAGTAAATACATTGTCAAATTCAAAACACTCTAACAGAGTAATTGGAGTGCCTAAATCAATGATATCTAGTATAAATATTGAAAGGTGAAGCTATTAAAACAATTAAAGCTACAAGAATTTGTTAAGGGATACAAATTATAAAAAGATGTTAAGTTTGCCATCAGAAACATAAAACATGAGAGGAGGGGGAGTAAAATTGTAGAATCTGTGTATGTAATCAAAATTGTTGTTATTATTTTTCACTACTCTCAGCTCATACCTATAACTTTTTTTATCAAATTAAAATAGCCTGTTATAAGTATAAGATGATTTTTTTTGTTTGCTTTTTTTTGAGATGGAGTCTTGCTCTGTCACCCAGGCTGGAGTGCAGTGGTGCAGTCTTGGCTCACTGCAACCTCAGTCTCCTGTGTTCAAGTGATTATCCTGCCTCAGCCTCCCATGTAGCTGGGACTACAGGTGTGCACCACCACACCTGGTTAATTTTTGTATTTTTGGTAGAGACAAAGTTTTGATAGAGACGGGGCCAACCTGTTGGCCTGGTTGGTCTCAAACTTCTGACCTCAGGTGATCCACCTGCCTCAGGCTCCCAAAGTTCTGGGATTACAAGTGTGAGTCACCATGCCTGGCCAGTATAAGACGTTCTATGTAAACCTCATGGTAACCACAAAAGTCTATAATAGATACACAAAACATAAAAAGAAAATATCCAAAGAATATTACTACAGACAGCCATCAAATCACAAAAAGAGAGAAAAAAAGGAACAAAGGATTTATTTACAAAACAATCAAAAATAATTAACAAAATGGCACTAGTAAGTCCTTATTAATAATTACTTTAAATGTAAATCGATTAAATTTTCCAATAAAAAAAGAACAGCAGAATGGATTAAAAACAAGACCCAAGTATATGCTACCTCCAAGAGACTCACTTCACCTTAAAGGAAACTCAGACTTAATGTGAAGAAATGGAAAATGATAGTCTAACAAAAAGAGAATAGGGTTAGCTACAATTATTTGAGACAAAATAGACTTTAAGGGCCAGGTGCGGTGGCTCATGCCTGTAATCCTAACATATTGGGAGGCTGAGGTGGGTGGATCACCTGAAGTCAGGAGTTAGAGACCAGACTGGCCAACATGGTGAAATCTCATCTCCACTAAACAAAAAAATTATCCAGTTGTGGTGGTGGGCACCTATAATCCCAGCTAGTCGGGAGGCTGAGGCAGGAGAGAATCGCTTGAACCCAGGAGGCAGAGGTAGCAGTTAGTTGAGATCATGCCACTGCACTCCAGCCTGGGTGACAGAGTGAGACTCTGCCTCCAAAAAAAAAAAAAAAATAGACTTTAGGGAAAAAAAACTATAAAAAGAGATGAAAAATGTCATTATATAGTAATAAAGGAGTAAATACATCAAGAGTATGTAGCAATTGTAAATTTATATGTACCCAACATTATAGCACTTAAAATAAATGTACAGCAATAATTAAGACATTCAAAGGGAGACAAAGACTGCAGTGCAATAATAGGAGGAAACTTCAATATTCCACTTTCAACATTGAACAGATCATCCGGGGAGAAAATCAATAAGGATACATTGAACTTGACCTACTTTAGACCAAATGAATATAACAGACATATGAAACATTTAACCCAACAGCAACAGAATACACATTGTTCTCAATGCACATGATACATTCTTCTGGATAGATTATATAATAGGCCACAGGCCAGGCACAATGGCTCATGCCTGTAATAACAGCACTTTGGAAGGCTGAGGTGGGAGGATCATTTGAGCCCAGCCCAGAAGTTCAAGGCCAGCCTGGGCAACATACTGAGACCCTATCTCTAAAAACATGTATGTGTGTGTGTGTGCGTATATGTGTGTGTGTGTGTGTGTGTGTGTGTGTGTGTGTAATAGGTCACAGAACAAGTCTTAACAAATTTAAGAAGACTGAAATTATATCAAGTATGTTTTCCAAACACAATGTTATAAAACTAGAAATCTGTAACATAAAGAACCATGGAAAATTGGTGGAATTTGCGGCTTTGGCAGATTGAAATAATGGCAGGTCCAGAAAGTGATGCGCAATACCAGTTCACTGGTATTAAAAAATATTTCAACTCTTATACTCTCACAGGTAGAATGAATTGTGTACTGGTCACATACAGAAGCATTGCTTTGATTGTCTTATATTTCAAGTTAAGGTCCAAAAAAACTCCAGCTATGAAAGCAACATAAATGGATTTTAAACTGTCTACAGTTCTTAATCTCATCTGTTAAGTTCCCATGCCTGGAGAAGCTAATGCCAACTCATCATGTGATAATTCAATTTGTACAATATATTATGAACTTGGAAAAAAAAGAACATGGAAAATTAACAAATATGTGAAAATTAAACAATATGCTCCTGAGAAAATATTAATATTAGAGCAAAGAAGAAATTAAAGAAGAAATTTTAAAATATCTTGAGACTAACAAAAATGGAGACGCAACATACCAAAACTTAAGAGATGCAGCAAAAGCAGTTCTAAGAGGAAATTTTATAGCAATAAATACTAAACCAAAAAAAAAAAAAAAAGGATCTCAACAAAATAACCTAATGCTACACCTCAAGGAACTAGAAAAAGAAGAACAAACTAAGCCCAATGTTAGAAGAAGAAATGACAAAACAAAAATCAGAGCAGAAATAAATGGATTAGAGTCTAGAAAAACAATAGAAAAGATCAATGAAACAGTATTTTTGCACGCATTAACCAAATTCTCTTTATCCCCTCCTTCCCCACTCCCACTCTTCCCAGCTTCTGGTAACCATTAATTTACTCACTATCTCCATGAGATCACATTTTTTAGCTCCCACATATGAATGTGATCATGTGATATTTGTCTTTCTGTGCCTGGATTATTTCCCTTAACATAATGTGACTATAGTTTCAAGCATGTATTGTATATTTCAAAACAGCTAGACTAGAAGATTTGGAATGTTTCCAACACAAAAAATGTTAAATGTTTCAGGCAATAATTATCTGAATTACCCTGATTTGATCATTATATATTGTATGCATGTATCAAAATATCATATATACACTATACATTTGTACAATATTATGTATCAATTTTAAAAATGTAAGAAAAGATCAATGAAACTAAAAGCTAGTATTTGGTAGAGCTAAATGAAATTGACAAACTTTAGCTAGACTAACAAAAAGAAAGAAGACTCAAATAAATAAACTCATGAATGAAAGAAGGGACATTAAAACTCAAAACACAAAAATACGAAGGATAATCAGAAAAAACTATAAATAATTACACGTCAACAAAGAGGAAAACCTAGAAAAAATGGATAAATTTCTAGAAACATAAAACCTACCAAGACTGAACTAAGAAGAAATTGATTATCTGAACAGACCAATAATGAGTAGGGAGATTGAATCAGTAATAAAGTCTCCTGTCAAGAAAAAGGTCAAGACCAGATGGCTTCATGACTGAATTCCACCAAACATTTAAATAAGAACTAATACTAATCCTTCTCAAACTCTTCCAAAAAGTTGAATAGGAGAAAATACTTCCACACTCATTCTATGAGGCCAGCATCACCTTGATACCAAAGCCAGACGGACACTACAAAAAAGAAAAACTCTACAATGCAGTATCACTGATAAACATAAATGCCAAATTCCTCAACAAATACTAGCAAACCATATTCAACAGTACATTAAAAGGATAATTCACTGTGATCAAGTGAGATTTATCTCAGGGATGCAAGGTTGGTTCAACATATTCAAATCAGTAAATGTGATTCACCATATTAACAGAATAAAGGACAAAAACCATATGATCATCTCCATAAATGCAGAAAAAGAATTTGACAAAGTTCAACATTCTTTCATGATAAAAGCTCTCAACAAATTAGGTATAGAAAGACTGTTCCTCAACACATAAAGGAAAGCCATATATGACCAGCCCACACCTAACATCATACTCAATGGTGAAAAGTTAAAGGCTTTTCCTCTAAGAGAAGGAAAAAAGACAGATGCCCACTCTCACCACTTCTTTTCAACATAGTAATAGAAGCCCTAACCAGAGCAATTAGACAGAATAAATAAAAGGCACCCAAATAGAAAATGATAACGTGAAATTGTCTCTGTTTGCTGACGACATGAATTTATATATAGAAAATCCTGAAGATTTTGCCAAAACTGCTAGAATTGATAAATGAATTCAGTATAATCGCAGGATACAAAATCAAGTTACAAAAATTAGTAGCATTTCTATACACTAACAATGAACGTAAAAAGAAATTAAGAAAACAATCCCATTTATAATAGTATCAAAAAATACTTAGGAGTAAATTTAACCAAGGAAGTGAAATATCTATATACTGAAAACTATAAAACTTTGATGGGAAAAAATTAAAGAGGATGCAAACAAATGGAAAGATACCTTGTGTTCATGAATTATAAAAATTAATATTGTTAAGACATCCATAATACTCTAGGTGATGTACAGATTCAATGAAATCTCTATTAAAATTCTAATATCTTAACCGGGTATGGTGGCTCATGTCTGTAATGCCAGCACTTTGGGAGGCCGAGGTGGGCGGATCACTTAAGGTCAGGAGTCTGAGAACAGCCTGGCCAACATGGTGAAACCCCGTCTCTACTAAAAATGTAAAAATTAGCCAGGCATGGTGGCGGGAGCCTGTAATCCAAGCTACTTGGGAGACTGAGGCAGGAGAATTGCTCAAACCCATGAGGCGAAGGTTGCAGTGAACTGAGATCATGCCACTGCACTCCAGCCTGGGTGACAGAGTGAGACTCTGTCTCAAAAAATATATAGATATATATAATATCAGTCTTAACATAAATAGAAAAAACAATCCTATAATTTGTATAGAACCATAAAAAAAAACTAAATAGCCAAAACACTGTTGACCAAAAACAACAAAGCTAGCTAGAGGCACCACACTACCAGATTTCAAAATATATTATAAATCTATAGTAATTAAAACAACATGCTACTGGCATAAAAACAGACACATCAGGCCGGACATGGTGGCTCATGCCTGCAATCCCAGCACTTTGAGAGGCCGAGGTGGGTGGATCACGAGGTCAGGAGATGGAGACCATCCTGGCTAACATGGTGAAACCCCGTCTTTACTAAAAATACAAAAAAAAAAAAAAAAAAACTTGCCAGGCGTGGTGGCACGTGCCTGTAGTCCCAGCCACTTGGGAGGCTGAGGCAGGAGAATCGCTTGAACCCAGGAGGCGGAGGTTGCAGTGAGCCGAGATCGCACCATTGCACTCCAGCCTGGGTGACAGAGCGAGACTCTGTCAAAAAAAAAAAAAAAAAAAAACCAGACATATCAATCAGTGGAATAAGAAAGATAGACATCCCAGAAATAAACCTATGCATCTATGGTCAATTGGTTTTGAACAAAAGTACCAAGAACATGCAATGGGTAAAGGACAGTTGCTTCAATAAATGCCACTGAAAAAACTAGACATCCACATAAAAAAGAATGAAAATGAGCCACTATCTCACTCCTTATACAAGAATCAACTCAAAATGGATTAGACTTAAACATAAAACCTGAAACTATATAACTACTAGAAGAAAACGTAGGAGAAAATTTCCATGACATTGACGTGAGCAGAGATTTCTTGGATATGACTCCAAAAGCACAAGTAACAAAAGCAAAATTAGACAAACAAGATTGCATCAAGCTAAAAAGCTTCTGTACTGCAAAGGAAACAATTGAGTGAGGGAAAAATCCAGGGACTGGGAGAAAATATCTGCAAATTATACATTCAATAAGAAAGTAATATCCAAAACCTACAAGGAACTCAAACTACTCAATAACAAGAAAACAAATAACCCTTTTAGAAAATGGGTAAAGGACTTGAATAAACATTTCTCAAAAGAAGACATAAAAATGGACATCAGATATATTTTAAAATGCTCAACATTTCTAATCATCAGAAAAGTACAAATCAAAACCACAAGATATCACCTCACACCTGTTAGACTATTATCAAAAAGATGAAAGATAAATGTCAGTGAGGATGTGGAGAAAAGGGAACACTAGCACACCAATGGTGATACTGTAAATTAGTACAGTCATTTTAGGAAATAGTATGAAGGTACATCAAAAAACTAAAAATAGTATTACCCACCCACAGCTCCAATAGAAAATAAAAAACAGAAGAGGGAGGATAAAATTGGCCTATACCGCCTCCTCTAATTGCAGAAACATCTGTACCACCTCCTTCAGTGGCAGAAATAGAGACCTTAATACAAAGAATTTTACACTCTGCTGCCATAGCTGGAGAGCCCTTAGGACCTTGCGCTTTTCCTATTTCTGTAAGGCCTGATCCAAATAATCCACAGCAGCTTATTCATGAACACACTCCACTAGAGTTTAAAGTTGTTGAAGGAATTAAAAGCAAGTGTGGCAAATAATGGTGTAAAGAGCCCATTCACCTTAGGATTGTTAGAATTTGTGTTTGGTGCTTTGCGTCTTTTACCCTTTGATGTGAAACACTTGGCGCAAACTTGCTTGTCCACTAGTGCATATCTGACATGGAATTTAAATTGGCAAGAAATGTGTGCAGACCAGGCTAAACAGAACCGTGTTGCTGGACACGCAGACATTACAGAGGATACGCTACAGCTATCAGTCCCTGTCTTAAGCAGGCAGCATTAGAAGGAGAGCTCTTAACATGCTCAGTAATGCAAAATCGGCAAGGCAATCAGGTGTATGTTTATAAAAAGATAAGAAAAAGACATTAGAAGTCGAAACCACTTGGCCAAGCAGGCGGTGGGCAGAAAAAAAGGCTCAGCGGCAGAAAAGTTTGCAGCAACCAAGCCGACAAGGTCCGCCCAGGCCGGCAGCATCCCCCACCCCACCGGCAAAGGAGGGAGTGAGTGGAGCAGACACAGGCAAAGCCTAAGCAAGTACAACGCGGCTGCCGCCCAAGACCTGCAACCGCTGCCCTCTGGCTCTGAGGGCAGCCCATAGCAAAATTTCATGTGTTACATCCCAGGCTATGATTGTTTGCTAATATTTTAGTAAAATGTAAGAAATTGAAAAACCTCTTTTCTAATAATGGCCACTATTGTTATCGCTCTCCTACCCCTGACGTAGCTTTCCAAATTCAATTTAATTAAAACAGTAACCTCTAAAGGGAGAGAGATTACAGAGGGCCCATGAATTAGTTAAAGAGTAATTAAAAGCTAAGCATGTAAAACCACACATTACCCTTTAAAAGAGAACTTTAAACCTAATTAAATGATATTTGTTAAATTAGAAGGTAAAAATGTCATGTCCTTCTCAGAAAGTGAAGAAAAGTTGTATGTAAGTGTACTGAAAACTCATGCATGAACGACTGTCTTAACTCACTGATTACAGATAGTCTTTGATTTGTACTTGCTAAGAGAGTCCTAAATTGAGTTCCCCAGCTAGTGAGTCACTGTTTTCAAGACTGTTTGCCAGATTAAAGTCCATAAACTTGGTCAGCCTGAAAACTCAATTACAAGATTTAAGCTATTCTGCCTGTGGCTTTAAGCACATGGTTAAAGTATATTATTTCAGTCTCTGCTTCTAGAGATGCTTTCAGATTTTCTTTTTAAACTTCTTGTTACTTATTTCAGCTTGCCATCTTAATAATTAATGCAGTCATTTGCTAAGTTATGACCCTGATATCATCAGGATTCCTTTAAGTAAAAGGCAATTCAAAGCGGTATTGCACTCCCCCATACCTAATGTTTTAACACTGTTTACTGATGGGTCTGGTAAATATGGAAAAGCGGCAGTCTAGTAGAGACCACATAATTCAATCACTCAATCTGAGTTTACTAGCACTCACAGAGCTAAGGTTACTCTGTTTATTTATCAAAGAACTTTTACAACCTTAAGCTCGCTCTGGACTTTCCAGCCTTATGTTGCAAATATAACCGTCAATTAATGGGGTCAAGACTTACAGCATGGGATATGAGACTTACAAATGAAAACTTTGATAATCCAGTATTTAAAATGTTGAAGAACATGTGATATCACAGTGGGAAAGGTTTGGGGAGGTTTCTACAGTGAAATCCTAACCCGATATCAGTAACTGGAAAAACAGATAGAAAAGCGCTAGGAGGTCAGGATTTCTGATGGGGGTCATTGATATTTCTCCTCCGCCCACTGCCTTACCATTAGAATGGCTTAGTGACAAACCTGTATGGGTGGATCAATGGCCCCTAACACAGGAGAAGCTAGATCAACTTCATCTGTTGGCAAAAGAGCAACTGAATGCAGGAAATATAGAAAAGTCAGTTAGCTCCTGGAATTCACCGGTATTTGTTGTCCCAAAAAGGTCCAAAAACAATAATGATCTCTGGGGTTTCAGCTCAACGCTCAGAGCTAATTGCAGTCATTCAGGTTTTATAGCTCACAGATTCAGATCCTATCAACATTGTCTATGATTCAGCTTATGTTGTGAATGTAGCCAGTCACATAGAAATTGCTACAGTTAAAAGTACACTAGACCCAGAACTGCTTAATTTTTTTCACTTATTCTCATATGCTGCATGCTACATGTCAAACAGGTGAGACAGTTGGTCATGTACAGCAACACTGTCTGTCATCATTTGCTCATATGGGGATACCTAAATAATTAAAAACTGACAATGGACCTGCTTATACTAGTCATGCTTTTCAAAATTGCTTGCGCTTTGGGCTATAACCCATAAAACAGGAATTCTTTATAATCCTAGAGGACAAGGCATTATAGAACGGGCACAACGAATATTAAAACGCATGTTGAAAAGACAAAAAGGGGGTAAAGGAGGCCAACTACCACCTCAATCAAAACTACATTTAGCCTTATTTACTTTAAATTTTTTGACTCCTGGTACTGATGGTAAGACTCCAGCAGAAAGACATTGCCAAGTGTTAGAGGAAAAGAGGAAAGTTTATTAGAAAGTGTTATGGAAATCCCCGGAAGAAGGACAATGGAAAGGTCCAGTGGATTTACTGACGTGGGGAAGAGGGTATGCTTGTGTTTTTACAGGAGATGAACAAGCCATGTGGGTGCCCTCACGGTGCATGCAACCATGGAATGGGAAACTGGAGGAACCGAGGGTGGCCCACTATAGGCCCGGTCCCTCCGGTACGAGCCATGAGTCAGCTGAGCCTGAGTGCAAAGATGGACAGAAGGCCGACTGGAGTCATGACACAGTTCTAATATTACACTTGTAAAGAATATCACCACTTAATTTACAGTTTGTGTTTTTAATTCTTATGTCTTTTTAGCAGCTAAGAAGGACCAGCTCCAGTTAAACAATACCCGATTGACCTGTAAATCTTGTCAGTTATATCACTGCATTAATCATAGCACATTGCAAACACATAATATCTCTACTTTGATGATTTTAGGTAGCATCCCTGGGCTATGGATTCCTGTTAATCTATCTGAGCCTTGAGCTGCCACACCTGCTTTGCATTTTATGAAACTTCTTCTAACTCTGCTTACTTATTGTGTCCGTAGAGCCTTAGGCATGATAATTTTTGCTATTGTTTCCTTGGTCACACTAATAACTTCTATTGTGATATCTTCTGTAGCTTTGCATAGTTCTGTTCAAACAGCTCAGTACATGGAGAACTGGACATGTACAGCTAACCAAGCATGGCTACTTCAGAATAAAATTAACACTGAGTTACAAACTGAAGTGCCAATGTTGAAATCCACGGTTCTATGGTTAGGGGAACAAGTACAAACCTTGCAATTGCAGCAGTAATTGCGTTGTCATTTTAATCACACTCATATTTGTGTAATCAACTTAGAATACAACCAAAGTGAGTATCCGTGGGACCTTGTGAAAGCCCATTTGCAGGGAGCTTTCACATCAAACATCACCTTTGATATTGGTGAATTACAAAACAAAATTCTTGATTTAAATAGGCAAACTCAAGAGTTTCAGCCTTCTTTAGAAGACTGGACCGAATTCCAGCAGGGCCTGGAGAGCCCCAACCCTTGGACCTATCTAAAGCATCACATTAACATCTTATATGTAGTTCTTGGAATAATGTTGTTTTGTCTATTCTTTTTATAGTCTGTAAAATCAGATGGACCACCAATCAGAGAATGAGAGCTGCCCAGCCTGGCCTTACATTCTTCCAATTAATTCATAAACAGAAAGGGGGAATATGTAGGGAGCCGAAGGCCTGTGGGACATGACCAACTCAGCATTCCACTGGAGGCTATATGATCAAACAGCAAACTGTTTATCATGAATGCAGGATGTGAGCAAACTCAGGACTGCTCCTGGTGACAGAAGGTTTGCTGGAGGCAATCACTCCCTGGCGCCAAAGTTATCTACTGTGACATCTAGAGCCTGTTGATCGAGGAATGCAGTCTTGCAAGCCTACTCCGGACTGAGCAGCTGACCCTTTCTTCCACCCCCTTTCTCACTATCTCTTTTGCCTAATAAATACAGAGGGCTGTGTAAAGCTCAGGGCCCTTGTCCACTAGAGGCAAGGCGCCCCCCGATCCCTCCTTCCAAATATACTCTTTTGTCTCATGTCTTTTATTCCCACATTTGCCCCGCTTTGTTCAGTCCCCCTAAGTCCATGCGGGTTATATAGTGGCACCCCGAGCAGCGACAGAATCGGGTGCTCAACATTACTTGACTAGACTTCTCAGGGATATCTGTTTTCCGTTCAGAAAACTAGAGTTTTGATTTGTTTATCAACTGTGATTTTGTTTTATAATATGCTAATTTCTCATTTTAGACTTATTATTTTGTTTTCTCTAGATTTTTTCCCCTAACTCTTTGAGACTGATGCTTATTTTTTGTTTGTATACAAAGGAATGCATTGAAGGATTCTGAACTATCTCTTAAGTTCAAATATGTTCAAATCCCATCCATTTTGATGTGTGGCAGTCTTGTTTTCTAAGTAGTTTACAAATGTGTTTTAAATTTCTGGTTCAATAATTAAGAGTCTTTAAAAAAAAAAACCACAATAAGATACCATCTCACATCAGTCAGAATGGCGATTATTAAAAAGTCAAGAAAAAACAGATGCTGGTGAGGCTGCAGAGAAACAGGAACACTTTTACACTGTTGGTGGAAATGTAAATTAGTTCAGCCATTGTGGTAGACAGTGTGGTGATTCCTCAAAGACCAGAACCAGAAATACCATTTGACTCAGCAATCCCATTACTGGGTATATACCCAAAGGAATATAAATAATTATATTATAAAGATACATACATGTATATGATCATTGCAGCACTATTTACAATAGCAAATACATAGAATCAACCCAAACGCCCATCAACGATAGACTGGATAAAGAAAATGTAGTACATATACACCATGGAATACTATGCAGCCATAAAAAGGAACAACATCATGTCATTTGCAGGGACATGGATGGAGCTGGAAGCCATTATTCTCAGCAAACTAATGCAGGAACAGAAAACCAAACACTGCATATTCTCACTTATAAGTGGGAGCTGAACAATGAGAATACATAGACACAGGGTAGGGAAAAACGCACACTGGGACCTGTTTGTGGGGGTCGAGGGAGGGAAAAATAGCTAATGCATGCTGGGCTTAATACCTAGGTGATGGGTTGATAGGTGCAGTAAATCACCACGGGACACATTTACCTATGTAACAAACCTGCATATCCTGAATGTGTATCCCAGAACTTAAAATAAAAATTTAAAAACTTAAAAACAACAAAAGTAATGAAATCAGTATGCTGAAGAGATATCTGCACTACCATGTTCAATGCAGCATTCTTCACAATACCCAAGATATGGAAACAACCTAAGTGTCTACCAACAGAAGAATTAATTTTTAACAGTGATATATATGCACAATGGAATACCATTCAGCTCTTTAAAAACAGGAAATTCTGTCATTTGCAACAACATGGATGAATCTAGAGGACATTATGTGAAATAAGCAAGGCACAGAGAGACAAATACTGTATGATCTCACTTATATAAGGAATCTAAAAAGTCAAACTCATAGAAGTAGAGAATAGAGTGGTGTTTGCCAGAGGCTGGGGAAGAAAGAGGTGAATGGGGAAAGAGGAGACATTGGTCAATTGGTACAAAGGCACAATTAGGAGAAAAATTCTGGTGTTATATTGAACGGCAAGGTGACTATAATTAATATTGTAATGTATATTTCAAAATATCTAAAAGAGGATTTTAAATGTTCTCACACAAAGAAATGATAAATATTTAAGATTATAGATACACTAATTACCTGATTTGATCATTTCACAATGTATACAAGTATTGAAACATCACCTTGTACCCCACAAATATATATAATTACTATTCGTCAATTAAAAATAAAATAAAACTTAAAAAAACAAATTAACATCACCAGCAATAAGACAAATCAACATCATATATTTTCTGATATGATGCATTGAGAAGATACAACATGTCCTCTGTAGTATTATCATCAAAAATGCATAACCTTAATCTAATCATAAGATTCAATCAATCCAAACTGAGGAACACTCAACAATAAAAGTAGTAAGTGGAATTCAAAGATGGCTCCCAAGTTTCCCTTTCTCTAGTGTTAACCCCTCTTTTTTAGTGTGGTTGTAACCTTTAAATATGATGAGATAATCAATGTCTTGATTAGGTTACATTTTATGGCAAAGGTGATGAAATACTAACTATTATAATAATGTTACATTACATAAGAATCTTCCATAGCAGACTAGAGATTTCTCTGCTGGCTTCCAAGAAGTAAGCTGCTATATTGTGAGAGGTACACATGACTAGGACCTGATGGAAGCATCTAAAAACAGAGCAAACCCTTGACAATAGCAAAAAAAAAAAAAAAAAAAACGAAGACTGCAGTCCTCAAACTGTTAGAACTATATTCTGCCAACAACCAGCGAATCTGGAAGGGGATCCCAAGCCTCAGGTAAGATCACAGCCTCAGGTGACATTTTGATTTCAGCCCACTGGTACCTGGAGCAGAGAACTCAGCTAATGCATACCTGGACTTTTGAGCCATGAAAGCTGTGAGGTAATAAATTTGTGTTGTTTGCAGCCTCTAAATTTTTGGTAGTTTTATGCAGCAATAGAAAATAATACAATAACTGACACACACTCTCCAAAACTTTCAAGGTCATGAAAGACAAGGAAAGATTGAAGGCCTGTCACAGATTAAAAGAGAACAAAGAGAAGTGACAACTAAAGGCAATGTGAGATCCTGAGTTACACCTTGGGACAGAAAAATACATTAGTTGTATAACTGGTGAAATGTAAATAAAGTGTGTAGTTTAATTTAACATATTGTACCATGTTAATTTCCAATTTTTTATAATTATACTATGGTTATGTAAGTTATTAACATTAGGGAAAAAAGGGTGAGGGGAAATGAAAATTTTTATCTCCTTTTTAAAATTTCTCTGGACTGTAACATTATTTTAGTAATAAAGAGTTTAAAAATAAAACCTGGATGGTGGGAGGCCAAGGAGGGCGGATCACCTGAGGTCAGGAGTTCAAGACCAGCCTGGCCAAGATAGTGAAACCCCATCTCTACTAAAAATACAAAAATTAGCTGGGTGTGGTGGCGGACGCCTGTAATCCCAGCTACTAGGGTGGCTGAGGCAGGCGAATCGCTTGCACCCGAGAAAGAGAGGTTGCAGTGAGCCCGGATCGCACCACTACACTCCCGCCTGGGCAACAGAGCAAGACTCCATCTCAGAAAAAAAAGAAAAAGAAAAAAGAAAACCTGAATGGATGATCAGGAGGCTGAGGGCCAGTGGCCTCAATAAAAAGACATAGTTTCCTGGTCCAGTTTCTCGACCTGAATCAACGTTCAGAGCCACCATAAACTGAAACGGGACTGGGTCCCCAGGAGGAGAGATTTGTAACATCATGGCAAATATACATGGTAATGATTTTTTCAGTCCTTCTCCAAAGGGTCCTACATCCATTTACTTGAGTAATTGTGCACTGAAGAAAGAAGAATACTCAAACAAGTCAAGGACTTTTAGTCACAGTGTCTGTGTTAATATTGATACTCAGATACCCATCTGGCTTCCTGGCTTTCCTATCTAGTATGATTGCCCCTTCTCCTAAGAGCAGTGAAGAGGAAGGGCAAAAGGATGAAGAAGTTCTTCAGGGAGAACAAGGAGATTTTAATGATAATGATACCGAACCAGAAAATCTGGGTCACAGGCCTCTCCTCATGGATTCTGAAGATGAGGAAGAAGAGGAGAAACGTAGCTCTGATTCTGATTATGAGCAGGCTAAAGCAAAGTACAGTGATATGAGCCCTGTCTACAGAGACAAATCTGGCAGTGGACCAACCCAAGATATTAATACAATACTCCTCACCTCAGCCCAATTGTCCTCTGATGTTGGAGTGGAGACTCCTAAACAGGAGTTCGATATATTTGGCGCCGTCCCCTTCTTTGCAGTGTGTGCTCAACAGCCCCAGCAAGAAAAGAATGAAAAGAGCCTCCCTCAACACAGGTTTCCTGCTACGGGACTCCAGCAGGAGGAATTTGATGTATTCACAAAGGCGCCTTTTAGCAAGAAGGTGAATGTACAAGAATGCCATGCGGTGGGGCCTGAGACACATCCCAAAAGCATAGATATATTTGACTTCACTCCATTTCAGCCCTTCCTCACATCAACAAGTAAAAGTGAAAGCAACGAGGACCTTTTTGGGCTTGTGCCCTTTGAGGAAATAATGGGGAGCCAGCAGCAAAAAGTCAAACAGCGCAGCTTACAGAAACTGTCCTCTCGCCAAAGGCGCACAAAGCAGGATATGTCCAAAAGTAATGGGAAGCGGCATCATGGCACGCCAACTAGCAAAAAGAAGACTTTGAAGCCTACCTACCGCACTCCAGAGAGGGCTCGCAGGCACAAAAAAGTGGGTCGCCGAGTCTCTCAAACCAGCAATGAATTTGTAACCATCTCAGACTCCAAGGAGAACATTGGTGCCGCAGTGACTGATGGGAACGATAGGGGGAACGTCTTACAACTCGAGGAGAGTCTGTTGGACCCCTTTGGTGCCAAGCCCTTCCATCCTCCAGACCTGTCATGGCACCCTCTACATCAGGGCCTGAATGACATCCGTGCTGATCACAATACTGTCCTGCCTAAGCAGCCAAGGCAAAATTCACTACATGGGTCATTCCATAGTGCAGATGTATTGACAATGGATGATTTTGGTGCCATGCCCTTTACAGAACTTGTGGTGCAAAGCATCACTCTACAGCAGTCCCAACAGTCCCAACCAGTCGAATTAGACCCATTTGGTGCTGCCCCATTTCCTTCTAAACAGTAGATACTTCTGATGGATTACTGGCATTAACTCCTGTTTCAAAAAAGTATGAATAGTTTTATGAATTTGAAAAAAAATTTAATGGCTGTTTATGTCGTTCGTTCTTAAAGATCAATCAGAACAGGTGATTTTTAAAAAACCAAATAGAAAAATGAAGTATCTCTACAGGGTAGTAACTTGATGCCTCTTCCAAGCAGGAGAAAAGGGAGCTAAATTGCCAGCTCTAACTAAGGGTTTCTGCTACTGACCTCACAACACAGAAATGCAAGTGTGGTACTTCCAGTGAAAGCACATGGCATCCTTCCAGGTGTGTAACCACTCAGGAGGGACAGTAAAACTGTTATTTTTAATATCAGAATGTCATTTTTGTGTGCATATCCCTAAAATTAGGGTTATTTGTACATACACTAGTTACGTTTGTGAATTTTTTTAAGATCTCTTCTAATTTCCATGCAGTTAAAAACAATCTAGTTCTCTTAAAGCATTAGAAAGTTATTATCTGGAGAGTGCAGAGATTTCACTCCATACACCTTTCTCCACAAAGCAGAACCAGAAGTAACTGGCTATTGTGCCTAAAACTATTTCATTTTAAAAACAAGTGCCATTAATATGGAATATCTAATGATAAGTACATGAAATGTATATATTAATGTGTATATTAATTAGCTCAATTTAGCTATTCCACAATTTACATATTTCAAAACAATGTTATACATGATAAATATATATAATTTTTGTCAATTAAAACATAAATTTTAAAAATGGACTATCGCATAGAAGCCTAGAACAAAAATATAAAGAGAAATATCTGACATTCAAAAAGAAATGATAAGCAGAAAAAATAATATAGAAGAAAAAATTCACTACTTTAGAAACACTTTATATTGTTTATGAATGGCTTCTTGCCCCAAACTTTTATTAACACGGCCCTAATGAAGCAGATTATTGGAAAAAATTGGGAGTGAGGACAAGGGTTATATAAAAATTTTATTTTAGGAAGAAAATATGTAGGAGAAACTGAATTTTCAGGACATTTACAGTGTGAAATCATGTTGCATTTAATAATGTACTTTATTAGCAACTTCACCAAATATTCCCCAAGTCATAAGCAACAATTATTTTTATTAGTTTTGGGGGGTGGAGTCGTTTTAATAAAGTGCACAGAACAGTGACATCCACAAAGCCTTATAGGCAGGATTCATGCATCCTGCTGCAAGTACCTCTGCACTAATAAATTAGATCCTAAAATGCATATAAGGTGGACTAGCATCTTAACTCTGCTAGTTGATCATATCTTCACTGAAAAGAACCCAGCTACCAATTGCCTTTTTTTAACACCACAAATGCTAATTAGAAACTTGAGATTTTATAGAAATTATTTAATGATAGAGATTACATATGTGAATTAATGTGAATATAGTATCTGTGCTTCCTGTGTCTATAAATATTTTAAGTTATAATTAACTGTCCTGCACTATCAGATTAACATTTCGAAGTTTCTAGAACAGTTAATGCTATTTACAGAAAGGAGTGGAAACTCATCAACTGGCACTCTCTTTGATTTTTATATTTTAAATTAACTCTCTTTGAACCCAATTAAAGTATATTTTATGAGTAATTTTGTTAGGCATCTCTTAATTATAGTGCCTCAATGGGATAAGATATTTGCCTATTTTCACAGTTCTGAACTTGGAAAGAAGCAAAGTATATGTAAATAAGCCACATATTTGTCTTTTTATTGCTTTTTTCCCTCTTTTATATGCTAAATCAAATATAAATTTGTGGATAGGGAAGCAATATGTGAATCACAATGTAGCAGAGGCAGACCAAGCATTACATTATTACTTAGAGTTGTACTTTTAGAGCTGGACTGCACCAATTACTTGTCCTCATGCCAAAGGCAAATATATTTGCAACTTTTTTTTTTCATTTCTCAGGTTGATTAATACTGCTAATGCAAATGCTCAAGTAGATGTTTAAAAACTTTACAAAATAGATTCAAGGAATACTTTCTTTTAAAAGTGAAGACTTGATGATTACACATAGTAAATTCATGAACTACAGTAGGTTTGTATCAAACAGAATAACTTTTTAAATGAAAATCTTTTGAGGTGTGCACAATATGCTTCTTATTTTAGTCCTTGGTCTTTGCTAGATCTCATGAGTTTCATCATTTAGAAAAGGGGTAGGGGATGAACTAGTGTGGTCTCCTTCAGATGTAAACATGAAATACCTAGCGTTTTACTCGCTTCTCAATACACTGAATAATTTTAAATGGTTCAGACACTGATGTAGACCCTTTGGCTTATAATGTTGGATAAATTCTGAGGAAACAACTCTGACAGCTTAAAATATTTACATTCTTATGTTATAACACAGCACAGTAACTTTCTTCTTTCAAGATTGTAGCTCAGAGAAAAGACACAGGATTCCATTGGGGGTTCAAAGGGATAGAAGTGGAGAGATTCCTTTGTGTTGAAATAGAGGCATTTTCCTAAAAAGTATATATTTATACTTTGCATTTTCATTCATCATCCCCCAGAATCATGGTCAAAGTGTAGGTCACTCCACACAGCTGATGCTCAGGTCATTGCATTATGAGAATTATGAGAATAAAGCTCTCAAGGTATGTGAAAGTGCTTAACACAGTACCTGGCATACAGCACTCAATAATAAGTTTGGCTCTATTATGGGATGTTCAAATTCTGGTTTAAGAATGTAAGAAAGGTTATATATATATACCACTAAGCAAATATAAATATCTATGTATATATATAGCAAAGACCATATATATATATATGGGTTTTTTTCCCTAATAATATTTGGGTGTCCCCTGTGCTTCTTTAGGATGTAGTTATAACTCTCAATGAGAACACATGGACACAGGGAGGGAACATTACACACTGGGGCCTGTCAGAAGGTGGGGGGCAAGGGAAGGGATAGCACTAGGAGAAATACCTAATGTAGATGACGGGTTGATGGGTGCAGCAAACCACCATGGCACATGTATACCTATGTAACAAACCTGCACGTTCTGCACATGTATCCCAGAACTTAAAGTATAATTTAAAAAAAAAGATACAAACAAAACAAAACAAACAAACAAACAAAACGTCTGCTGGGTTTGATAAGGATTGAATCTGCAAATGAGTTTAAGGGGTATTGCCATTTTAACAATATAAAGTCTTTATGGAATGTCATTCTATTTATTTAAGACTTCTTTAATGTTTTAACAATGTTTGTTTGTTGTTTTCAGAGTATATGTTTTGCACTTGTTTTGTTACATTTATTCCTAAGGATTTTGTTCTTTTTCATGATATTGCAAATTAAATCATTCTTTTCATTTCATTTTTGTTTTGTTCATTGCTGCTATAGAGAAATACAATTGATTTTGTATATTGATCTGTTCTCCTGCCACTGTGTTGAAATTGTTAATTATTTCCAATAGTTTGTAGTAGATTCCTTAGGATATTCATGCATACATTTATGTCATCTACAAATACAGATTGTCTTACTTCCTTCCAAATCGGGTTGATTTTTATTTCTTTTTCTTGCCTGATTGCCCTGATTGGAATCTTCAGTACAATGTGGAATAAAAGTGGTGAAGGCAAACATCCGTGTCTTGTTCTGGATCTTAGGGAGAAAGCTTTTATCATTAACTATTATGTTAGCTGTGGCTTTTCCATAGATGCCCTTTGTCAGCTTTGAGGAAGTTTCCTTCTGTTCCTAGTTTGTTGAGTGTTTTTATCATGAAAGAGTGCTAGATTTTGTCAAACAGTTTTTACTTCTATTGAGATGATCATTTGGTTTTTGTTTTCATTCTTTTGACATGGTGTATTACATTAGCTGATTTTCAAATGTAAAACAACCTTGCATTCCTAGGATAAATCTTACTAGGTCATGCCGTACAATTCTTTTTATATGTTGTTGAATTCGGTTTGTTAATACTTTGCTGAGGATTTTTGTGTCTATACTCATAAGCAATATCAGTATGTAGTTTTCTTTCCTCGTAATATTGTCTGGTTTTGGTATCTTGATAGTAATGTACTCACAGGATGTGTAGGGAAGTGTGCCCTCCTCTTCTAGTTTTAGAAATTTGGTATATGTTATTAAGTGTTGGATAGAATTAACCAGTGAAGTCTACTGTTTCTGGCCTTTTCTTTGTATGAAATTGAACGATTGCTTATTTACATCTCCTTACTCTCTATAGGTCCATTCAGATTTTACATTTTTTTCTTGAGTTAGTTTCAGTAGTTTGTGTTCTTCTATGAACTTATCCATTTCACATGTTATCTATTTTGTTGTCATATAATTGTAGACAGTATTTCCTTACATTTCTCTTGTTTTTGTAATATTGGTAGTAATGGCAACTCTTTCATTTTTATTTTAGTAAATTGAGTATTCTCCTTTTTTCTTGATTTGTGTAGCTCGTTTCATCAATTTTGTTAATCTTTTAAAAGAACCAAGTTTTTGATTACCTCATTTTCTCTGTTGTTTTTCTCTTTTACATAATATTAACTTCTGACCTAATCTTCATGATTCCATTCTTCTGCTTAATTTGTGTTTATTATTATTGAATTACAAATAAAAATTATATATATTTATGGTGTACAACATGATTTCTTAAAGTATGTATACATTGTGAAGTGGCTAAATCAAGCTAATTCACATATGCATTACCTTGGATATTTATTTTTGTGGTGAAAACACTTAAAATCTACTCTAAGCAAATTTCAAGTACAAAATATATCATTAATGCATTGTTGTAAGTATAGTCACCATGTTAGACAATATTCTTGAACTTATTCCTCTTGTCTAACTAAAATTTTCTATCCTTTAACCAATATCTCCTCTATCTCCCACTTCCCCAACAGGGCTCCTGTCTACACTCTGCTTCTGTGAATCTATCATTTTTAGATTCCACATATAAGTGAGATCACGGAGTTTTTGTCTTTCGGTGCTCGGCTTATTTCACATAACACATTATCCTCTGGGTTCACCCATGTTTCCCCAAATGACAGGATATCCTTTTAGAAGGCTAAAGAGTATTCCATGTGTGTATATACCACAGTTTCTTTATCCATTCATTTGTCAATGGACATTTAGGTTGCATCCATATTTCAGCTGTGGTGAATAATGTAAATAATATGGGAGTGCAGATATCTCTTGAAATACTGATTACATTTTCTTTGGATATTTACCTAGAAGTCGAATTGCTGGATCATATGGTAATTTTTTTGAAGAACCTCTGTATTGTTTTTGATAATAGTAGTATTGATTTACTTTCCCACCAGCAGTGTACAATGGTTCCCTTTTCTTTTCATTCTGCCCAACACTGACCGTCTTTCCCCTTTTTGATACTAGCTCACTCTACGGGTGTGATGTGATATGGTGGTTTTTAATTTTCATTTCCCTGATGATTAGTAACGTTGAGCAATTTTTTTCATATATCTAATGGCCATTGGTATGTCTTCTTTTGAAAATAACAACTTAGGTCTTTTTGTCCATTGTTTAATTGGGTTACTTGTTTTCTTGCTATTGAGTTATTTGAGTTCCTTATATATTTTGTATATTAACTTTTTATCAGATGTGTGGATTACAAATATTTTCTCCCATTTTATGGGTTGTCTCTTCACTTTGATTGTTTCCTTTGCTGTGCATAAGCTTTTTAATTTGTTGTAATAGCATTTGTCCATTTTTGGTTTCGTTACCTGTGCTTTTGGGGTTATAGCCAAGAAATCATTGCCCACACCAGTGACATGGAACTTTTGCCCTATGTTTTCTCGTAGTTTTACAGTTTCAGGTTTTACATTTAAGTCTTTTATCCATTTTGAATTGATATTTTGTATATAGTGTGAAATAAGGATCTAATTTTATTCTTCTTTATTCTTCTGTGTATGTATATCCAGTTGTCCCAACACCATTTATCAAAGAGACTGTCCTTTCCCCATTGTGTGTTCTTGGCACCTTTGTCAAACATCAATTGACTGTAAATGTGTGGATTTATTTCTGGGCTTTCTGTTCTGTTCCATTAGTCTATTTGTCTGTTTTTATGCTAGTATAAAGTTGTTTTGACTACTATAATTTTATAGTAGATTTTAAAATCAGGAAATGTGACGCCTCCAGTTTTATTCTTTTTGCTCAAGATTACTTTGGCTATTCAGCATCTTCTATAGTTCCATACAAATTGTCGGGTTGTTCTATTTCTGTGAAAAATGTCATTGAAGTTTTGATATGGATGGCATAAAATCTGTAGATTGCTTTGATTAATATGGGCATTTTAACAATATTAATCTTACAGCTTATAGACACAAGATACATTTCTAGTTATTCGCATTTTCTTTAGTTTCTTTCATCAGTGTTTTATACTTTTTACTGTACAGATCTCTCACCTTCATGGTTAAATTTATTCCTCAGAGTTTTAGTTTTATAGCTATTGTAAATGAGATTGGTTTGTTGATTTCTTTTTCAGAAATTTATTGTTAGTGTATAGAAACACTTCAGATTTTGTATCTTAATTTTGTATACTGTAAATTTTCAGAAGATGTTTATTAGGTCCAATTGTTCTTTTGTGGAGCCTTTATAGTTTTCTAATAAGATCATGTTATCAGCAAACAGAAATAACTTCACTTGTTCCTTTCTGAAATAAAAGCCTTTTATTTCATCTTCACTAACTGCTCTTGCTAGGAATTCCAGTATTCTATTGAATAGAAGTGAGTGGGCATCTTTGTCTAGTTCCTGATCACAGAGAAAAAGATTTTAGCTTTTTCCCATTGAGTATGTCGTCAGCTGTGGGCTGTTATATATAAATGGCTTTTATTTTGTTGACATACATTCCTTCTATACATAATTTGTTGAGGCTTTTTATTATAAAAGTATGTTTTGTCAAGTGCTTCTGCACCTATTAAGACGATCAATTGGCTTTTGTCTTTTATCCTATTAATGTGATGTACCATATTTATTAATCTGCATATGTTGAACCATTCTTTCCTCCCTGGGATAAATACCATTTGGTCACGGTGAATGACCCATTAATGCGTTGTTGAATTGAGTTTGCTAGCATTTTGTTGAGGATTTTGCATCTATGTTCATCGGGAATACTGGTCTGCTGTTTTCTTTCCTTGTAGTGTTTTGTCTGGCTTTGGTATCCAAGTAACGCTGGCCTCAAAATGAGTTTGAATGTATTCCCTCCTCCTCAATTTTGTGGAATATTTTGAGAAGGATTGGTATTAGTTCTTCCTTAAATGTTTGGTATAATTCAGCAGTGAGGTCATCAGGTCCTGGGCTTTTCTATGTTGGGAGTTTTGGATTAATCATTTAATATACTTGTTATTGGTCTATACAGATTTTCTGTTTCTTCATGATTCAGTCTCGGTAGGCTGTATGTTTTTAGGAATGTATCCATTTTTCTAGGTTATCAATTTTTGGGGGAATATAATTGCTCATAGTTTCTTATGACTTTATATTTCTGTAGTATCAGTTGTAAGGTCTTCTCTTTCATTTATGATTTTATTCATTTCAGTCTTCTCTCTTTTTCTTAGTCAAGCTAAAAGTTTGTCAATTTTGCTTATCTTTTCAAAATACTAACTCTTAGTTCTGTTTATCCTTTCTGTTGTTTTTCTAGTCTCTATTCATTTTTATTCCTGTTCTGACCTTTATTCCCTTTCTGCCAGCTTTCAGTTTAGGCTGGTCTTTTAGAGTTCCTTGAGGTATAATGTTAGTTTGGATTTTTAAGTCTTTTTTCTTTTTTGATGTAGGCATTTATTGCTATAAAGTCCCCTCTTAGAACTGCTTTTGCTGCATCCCATACATTTGGCATGTTGTTTCCGCTTTCTGTTGTCCCAAGATATTTTTCAATTCCTTTTCATTTCTTCTTGACTCTTTGTTCAGGAGCATGTTGTTTAATTTCTACATATTTGTGAATTCTCCAATTTTTCTTGTTATTGATTTCTAGATTCATACCGTTATGGTTACTGAGATTCCTGGGGCAGGCCTGGATCCTGATTCTGCTGGACTGTCAGGGGTGGCCTCAAGCTTGGGTCTATGCATGCCAACCTGGTGCTGGAGTGAGACTGGAGGCTAGGTCCACAAGTGTTGGCCTGGAGTCTGGGGCTGAAGAGGCAGACCAGGCAATGGTATGGGGCGGGGGGCGCCTGAAGCCTGGGCCCATGTGGTACTGGGCCAATCTCAGTCTGGTACTGGGCCAATCTGGAGTCTGGGTTGGGCCTGAAGCTTGAGTCTCCAGGGGCCAGCCTGGACCCTGAGGCTGCAGGAGCAGGCTTGGTGCTGGTGCCTGTTGGTGCCACCCTAGCACTACAGTGAGCCTGAAGCCTGGGGCTTCAGGGGCCAGCCTGGTGCTAGAGCAGGCCTGGAGCCTGGGTCTGCAGATGCTGGCTTGGAGTCTGGAGATGTGGTGGCTAGCCTGGCACTGTGGTGGACTGGTTCCTAGGTTAGTAAAGGCTAGCCTGGAGCTAGGGTATAGTGGTGTTGGTCTGGTGCAGAGGAGGGCCTGGAAACTAGGTCCATGGGTATCTGCCTGGAGTCTGGGGCTATGGGGCCTGGCCTGGCAGTGGGGCAGGCCTAGAAGCTGGGTACTTAAGGTCATGGCTGGGTCCTAGGGCTGTGGGTGCTGGCCTGGTGCCTGAGACTGCCAAGGTTATCCTGGAGCTGGGTCCTGGGTGTACTGGCCTGGAGGTTCCATCCACAAGTGCTGGCCTGAAGCCTGGAGGCATGACTCTTGGCTACACTCACCAGGAATTTAGTCAATTCAAGTTGGAATTGGAGGGGACAAGAAATGCAGGCAGGCTGACACTCCAGGTGAGATATAATAAGCCTTGAATGGGAGCTAGACACAGACCTTACACCCTTCATAAAAATGTTCTTAAAATGGACCACAGACCTAAGTGTAAAATGAAAAACTATAAAACTCCTGTAAAATAGCATAGGAGAAAATCTGGTTGACCTAGGGTTTAGCAATGACTTTTTAGAAGCAATACCAAAAGTACAACCAATGGAAGAAAGAATAGATTAACTGAACTTCATTAAAATTAAAAATTTCTACCCTGTGACAATGTAAAAAGAATGAGAAGATAAGCCACAGACTGAGATAAAATATTAGCAAAGGACATTCTGATAGAGAACTTTTATCCAAAATATACAAAGAACTCTTTAAACTCAACAATAAGAAAATAAACCTGATTTTTTTTATGTTTTAAATAAATTTTATTGTCTATATTAAGGTATACAACACAATGTTAAATGAAACATATATATATATATAGTAAAACTATAGTGGAACAATGAACATACCCATCATCTCACATAGTTACTGATTATTCCCCCATTGGCAAGAGCAGGTATAATCTACTCATTTAGCAAAAAGTCCTGAACACAATATACAATATGTATTAACTATAGTCCTCATGTTGTACATTTGATCTTTGATCTTTTCACTTGTTCATCCTGCATATTTACTACTTTGCATCCTTTGACCTACATCTCATTTCCTCCACCTTATCCTGACCTTAGTAATTACTGTTTTATTCTCTATCTCTATATATTTAACCTTTTTTTTCTTGATTCCACATATAAGTGAGATCACGCAATATTTTTCTTTCTGTGTCTGGCTTATTTCATTTAGCATAATGTCTTCTAGGTCTATCCATGTTTTGGCAAATGACAGGACTGCCTTCTTTTTAAAGGCTAAATAATATTCTAATTATCTATCTATTGATCTCTCTATATCACAGTTTCTTTATCCATTTGCCCATTGATGAACACCTAGGTTGTGTCTGTATCTTGACTATTGTGAATTGTGCTGCAATAAACTTGGGAGTGCAGAGATAATCTCATTCCCTTTGGGGATATACCCAGAAGAGGGATTGCTGGGTCATATGGTAGTTCTATTTTTAATTTACTTAGGAACCTCCATACTGTCTTCCATAATGGCTGCACCAATATATAATACATTCCCACTAACAGTGTACAAGTGCTCCCTCTTCTCCACACCCTCACCAACACTTGTTAGCTCTTGTCTTTTTGATAATAGCTATCCTAACATGTATGAGGTGGTATCTCAAAGTAGTTTTGATTTGCATTTTCCTGATGACTGGTGATATTGAGCACCATTTCATATACCTGTTGGTCATTTTCTGTCATCTTTGAAGAAATGTCTATTCAAGTCCTTTCCCCACTTTTTTTTAATCAGGTTATATGTTGTCTTGCTATTGAGTTGTATGAGTTCTTCCTAAATCCTGAATATTAAAACCTTGCCTGATATATGGTTTGCAAATATTTTCTCCTTATCTGTACATTGCCTTTTCATTTTGTTGATTGTTTTCGTTCTGTGTAGAAGTTTTTTAGATTGATATAATTTCATTTATTTATTGTTGCTTTTGTAGCCTGAGGTTTTGGTGTGATATCCAAGGAAACATTGCCAAAGCCAGTGTCAAGGAGCTTTTCCCTTATGTTTTCTTCTAGATTTATGGCTTCAGGTCTTACATTCAGATCTTTTATCCATTTTGGATTGATTTTTGTGTATGGTGTAATGTAAGAGTCTAATTTCATTCTTTTGCATGTGGAAATTCCAGCACCTATTTATTGAAGAGACTACCCTTTTCTCATTTTGTCTTTTTGGTGCTCTTGTCAAAAATTCATTAACCATACATGTTTGGATTTATTTCTGGCTATTTCACTGTCCTGTGTATCTCTTATGCCAATACTGTATTGTTTTGATTACTCTCGTTTTGTAATATAAATTTAAATTGGGAAGTATGATGCCTCCAGGATTTTTTTTTCTCAGAATTGCTTTGGTTATTTGGGATCTTTTGTGGATCCACAGAAATTGTATGATTTTTTTCTATTTCTGTGAAGAATGCTGATGAGATTTTGATAGGGATTGCATTGAATCTATATATTGCTTTGGGTAGTATGGACACTTTAACAACATTAATTCTTCCAATCTATGAGCATGGAATATCGTTTTATTTATTTGTGTCCTCTTCAATGTATTTCATCAATGTTTTGTGGTTTTCAGTGTGCAGGCTATACTGATGCACTTTCATCTTCTTGGTCAAATGTATTCTTAAGTGTTTTATGTTATCATAAATGGGATTGTTTTCTTGATTTCTCAGCTAGGTTGTTATTTGTGAATAAAATGGCCATGGATTTTTGTATATTAATTTTATATCCTGCAACTTTACTGAATTCATTTATTAGATCTAATAGGTTTTTTTGGTGGAGTCTTTGGAGTTTTCTACACATAGGATCATATGATGTGCAAAGAGAGATCATTTTACTTCTTCCTTTCCAATTTAGATATCTTTAATTTCTTTTTCTTGTCTAATTGCTCTCTCTTGATAGTACTTCCAGTACTATGTTGAATAGAAGTGGTGGGAGTGGGTAATAACTGATTTTTAAATGTACAAACATCTGAAAAGGACACCTCACCAAAGAAGATATACATATGGAAAATAGGCATATGAAAAGAAGCTCAAGGTGATATGAGTTGTCTTCCAAAAGGTAATGAAAAATGCATATTATGAAAAAATTATGGAGTCCAAATTTTTTATACCAAAATAAGCTCATACTAACTTGTTATAACATGCCTGAACAGGATGTAGTTTGAGGCACTAAAAAGGTAAGACGTAAGTTTGAAAAGAGCACCTGTCAGAGCAACATAAATTCTACTAAAATTGAAGCAAAACCAAACATCAAATTTAGTGTGAAGCTTGGGTGGAAGAATGGTAAAATCATTGATGCTTTATGAGAAGTTTATGGGGATGATTCTCCAAAAGAAATCAGCAGTTTGCAAACAGATAACTCATTTTAAGAAGGGATGAGATGATGCTGAAGATGAAGCACATAGCAGCAAGCCTTCCACATCGTTTGAAAAAAAAATTGAAAAAAATTATGTCCATGCCTTAATTGAAGAAGAACAAGAATTAACAGCACAAACAATAGTCAACACCATAGATATCTAAATTGGCTTAGCTTACACTATTCTGACTGAAAAATTAAAGTTGAGCAAACTTTCCACTCAATGGGTACCAAAACTGTTGTGCCCAGATCAGCTGCAGACAAGAGCTGAGCTTTCAATGGAAATTTTAACAAGTAGGATCAAGATCCTGTAGCAATTTCTTGAAGAATTTTAACAGGAGACAAAACATGGCTTTACCAGTATGATCCTAAAGATAAAGCACAATCAAAGCAATGGCTACCAAGAAGTGGAAGCGGTCTAGTCAAAGCAAAACTGGACTGGTCAAGAACAAAGCTCATGGCAATAGTCTTTTGGAATGTTAAAGGAATTTTTCTAGTTGGTTTTCTGGAGGGCCAAAGAACAACAACATCTGCTTATTATGAAAGTGTTTTGAGAAAGCCAAAGCTTTAGCAGAAAAACACCTGGGAAAGCTTCATTAGAGAGTCCTTCCCCATCACAATGCTTCTGCTTATTCCTCTCATCAAACAAGGGCAATTTTGTGAGAGCTTTGATGGGAAATCATTAGGCATTCATCCACCTTACAGTCCTGATTTGGCTCCTTCTGACTTCTTTTTGTTTCAAAGTCTTAACAAACCTTTAAATTGCACACATTTTTCTTCAGTTCATAACGTAAAAAAGACTTCATTGACCTGATTAAATTCTCAGAACCCTCAGTTCCTTAGGGATGAACCAAATGGCTGGTATCATTGCTTACAAAGTATCTTGAACTCGATGGAGCTTATGTTAAGAAGTTTATATTTTTTACTTTTACCTTTTAGTTCAATTTTTCCATAAATTTTTGAAGTCCCCTCATACATCATCAGGGAATTGCAAATTAAAACAACAATAAGATGCCACTATGCACCTGAAAGAATAGCCAAAATCTATAACACTGACCACACCAAATACTGTAGAGGATGTTTAGCATAAGGAACTCCCAGTCACTGTTAGTGGAAATGCAAAATGATACAGCCACTTTGGAAGACAGTTTGCAGTTTCCTACAAAACTAAACAGAATTGCTATACTATCTAGCAATTATATTCCTAGGTATTTAACCAAATGAGTGGAAATTCATGATAACACAAAAACCTGCAAATGAATGTTTATAACAGCTTTATTAATATTGGCCAAAACTTGGAAGCAACCAAGATGTCCCTCTATAGGTGCATAGATAAACATTTTATGGCCCATCCATAAAATGAAACATTATTCAGCAATAAAAGGAAATGAGGTATAAAGCCATGAAGAGATATGGGGGAAATTTAAATTCATATTGCTAAGTGAGAGAAGCCAGTTTGTTAGTTTATTTTATAAATCAGGATATGGTTTATTTTGGTGAATATTCCATGTGTACTTGCAAAAATTGTGAATTCTACCACTTTTGGTTATAGTGGTCTATAAATGTCCATTAGGACAAGTTTATCCTAGTGTTGTTCAGATCTATCCTTGTTAACTTTTTAGCTAATTTATTTAGCTAAAATTAATTTTTTAGCTAACTTTTATTAATTATTAAGAGTAAAGCATTTAAATCCCAAATATAATTGTGGATTTGTCAATTTCCCCTTGCAGTTATGTCAATTTTTACTTCCGGTATTGTTATGTCTTTATCAGGGGGCAATTCACCAAGCAGTGCCCTCTTTCTCTCTGATAATATTGCTTCTTTTGAAGTCCACTTTTGTTTATATTAATATTGTCATTCCAACTTTTTTTTGACTAGAGTTTGCACAATATATTATCCCTTTCTTTTTATTTACAGTGAGTTACGGGTAGAAAGCATATATTTGGGTCTCTAGGAAGAATTGAATATTTAATACCTTGTGACTATATAAGATTTCTATTTTTTCTTGAGTAGGTTTTGATAATTTATATTTTGCTAGGAATTTGTCTATTTTCTCTAAACTTTCAAACCCTATTGGCATAAATTGTTAACACTGTCCCTTAATCTTTTTAATCTTTATGGTGTTTTTCAATATGCTCCCCCTTTTCTTTCATAATATTATTTCTATATACTTTTCTTTTTGTCTTGATTAATCGGCCAAATGTTTGTCTATTTTATTACAAAACTAAAATAACCAAAACAGGCTGGTACTGGCATAAAGATAAACATTTAGACCAATAGAATAGAATTGAGACTGCAGAAGTAAACTCATACATATATCTTCAATTGAATTTCTACAAGGGTGTCAGGACCATACCATCAGAAAATAATATTTTTCAACAAATCACTTTGGGTCAATTGCATAGATACATGCAAAACAATGAAGCTGGACTCCTAACACATACTATATTAAAAATTAACTTCAATTGATTACAGACATGAATACAAGAGCTAAAACTAAAAATTATAGAAGAAAAAGTAAGAGTAACTCTTCATGACCTTTAATTTAACAATGAATTATCAATAATGATACCAAAACACAAGCAATAAAAAATAAAAAAGACAAAAGACAACCCACAAAATGGGAGAAAATATGTGCAAATTACATATCTAATAAGGATCTGTTATCCAGATTATAACTCTTACAACCTAACAACAAAAAGACAATAACTCATTTAGAAACTGCCAAAGACTTGAATAGACATTTCTTCAAAGAAGATATACTAGTGGCCAAGAAGCACATGAAAAGATGCTCAATATCATTAATCATTTAGGGAAATGCAAAATAAAATCACAATGAGATACCACTTTACACCTACTAGGATGGCTATAATCAAAAAGAAAAACAGAAAATAATAAAGGGGTTCTCAGGATGTGGAGAAATTTGTAACTTCATACACTGCTGGTAGGAATATACAATGGCACAGCCACCATGGAGAACAGTTGGGAAGTTCTTCAAAAAGTTGAACAGAATTACAATATGACCCAGCAATTCCACTCCTAGATATATACCCAAGAAAAATAAAAACTTGTGTCCACTAAAACCTTGTACACAAATGTTCACAGCAATATTATTCATAATAGCTAAAAAAAAGTAGAAACAACCAATCAATGGATAAATGGATAAACAAAATGTGGTATACTCATACAATGAAATATTTTTCTCCATGAAAATGAATGAAGGCTGACCATGGTGGCTCACGCCTGTAATCCCAGCACGTTGGGAGGCTGAGGCAGGCGGATCACCTGAGGTCAGGAGTTTGAGACCAGCCTGGCCAACATGGTGAAACCCTGTCTCTACTAAAAATACAAAAAAAGTAGCTGGGCATGGTGCCAGGCGCCTGTAATCCTGGCTACTTGGGAAGCCAAGACAGGAGAATCGCTTGAACCTAGAAGGCAGAGGTTGAAGTGAGCTGAGACTGCACCACTGCACTCCAGCCTGGGCAAGAAGAATGAAACTCCATCTCAAAAAAAAAAAAAAAAAAAATGAAGTCCTGATACATGCTATATGGATTACCCTACAAAACATCCTAAGTGAAAGAAACCCATGATAAAAGGCATCTATTGTGTTATTCCATTTACGTGAATTATCCGGAACAGGGGAATCCATAGAGACAGAACATAAATCAGTGGTTGACAGGGATGGGGGAAAATAGGGGTGACTGCTTAATGAATGCAAGATTTATTTTGGGGGTGATGGCAATGTTCTGGAACTAGGTAGTGGTAACGCCTGCACAACATTATGAAGTTTCTGTTGGTAGGACAGCAGTAGAGGCCATGGGTCATGACAATCTTCTCACGTCAGTCAGCCGAGGCATCACCATCCTGTCCTTAATGGCCTTAGCAGGTCCGGGGGCTATGTGGTTCCCAATCCACGTGCAGGTGACAGTGTTGCAGGCATAGGGCCAGGGGCCAAGAACCAAGAGCCTGACGGTACAAGCAACATGTACTCGGTGATTCAGGTGGGTAAGGAGAAGTATGCCACCTCAGTGTCAGAGGAGGAGGCCACCTTTGAGGTGCTGCTGCTACTGTACTTGGGCTTCGCCGAGGTGTACCTGCAGGACCTGCACCCAGACTAGGGGAGCAGGAAGATGCGGTGGTATACCTTGAAATCCAAACCAGGAGAGAAGGATAAAGAGGAGAAATTGAGGTTGACATCCAGCTTATGAGAAACAACATGACTGCCAGTATGTTTGACCTTTTCATCAAAGACAAGCCTCGGAATCCATTTGGAAAACTTTAAGACAAGATCAAGGGGAAGAATATGGATAGTGCATCAGGTGCTGCCTCCAACATAGTCTCCAGCACTACACCTTCAGTCAAAAGTGATGATTAGTCTTCGTCCAAAGACAAGAAGGATCAAGACCTTGTTTTCCAAGTCTAATTTGCAGAAATTTCCTGATCCATGATTGCCCTGTAGACATCAAAGCTAAAATGCTGCCTCAACTGGGAGACTTTCAGTCCCGGTGGGACAATGACAACAATGAGAGGGACTCCTCTTCAGCTTCAGATGTCATGTCTCACAAGACAACAGCAAGTACATATCTTAAGCAGCTAAACGAAATCAATGTCACCCTTCCCAAAATGGAAGGACTTTCCTTTGAGGGTCTTCGGTCTATGAACGAAGTCCTTTCCCACTCTAATGTCTGTATCAATGGGAACCATGTTTAACTGGAGCAGCCAGAAGCCAAGGGTGAGAACAAGTATAGCAGTCCTTCTTCCTACCTGAAGCCCCAGGGCTTCAGGAAGAAACATTTGTTCTCATCTACCAAAAACCTGGCTGCTCAGTCTTGGAAGTAACCTGGGGAAGGAAGTGGGATGTCTCATGACAGGTGGCTCTTTGAGTCTTCTACCAAGAACTCTCTGAAGTCCATGTCTCCGCCATCCTACCAACCACTGTTCTGTGGGGACATTAGAGAAAACATGGCTCCAGCAAACTTGGAAGCTGCAAAAGAAACCAAAGAGAGCAAGAAGCAGAATAACGAGAGTCTTCTTTGCTTTCTCGGGTGACGGGGAAGAAGGACATGGCTAAGAACAGTGAAGGTGAAAACCCTCTTACCATCCTGGAGAAGAAGGAAGGCATGCTTATGGAGGTCAAGCCGGGTAGCATGCTTCAGGGCCTGTTAAAGACCTTACGAGAAGATTGGAGAAAGATATTGCAGCTATTGTCTCCAGAAGGGGTAACTCCCTGAACCCCTTTGAAGATGTGCAGATCACAGAACCAAAAACTGACCCAGAATCCAAGTCTGAACAGAATCACCAATTCTCTCTGTGATGGCTCCAAAAACCAGAGCTGTCAAACCTTGACTTCATCCTGTGAAGCCAATGAACACAATGGCCACCAAGATTGCTATCTCTAGCTTGGGAACTGCCACCATCATCAGTGAGAACTTGATCAACAAGACCACGATCAAGAAAACCCCTCAGATTCTGCTTTTGCCTATGCACAGCTAACCCAGAATGAGCTTATCCAGCTGCTCCTCAAACAGAAGAAAACAATAATAATAATAATAAGAGGGATTTCCAGGATCCTGAGCTGGAAGACTATACTGACAACCTGCCAATCAGTCATGGAAGAAACCCCCACGCTCCACATTCTGGCTCAGGTTAGCAAAAAATGCGGGAAAGATGTAAATCACCAGAATTAAACACGGGCATGTTTCCGTGAGTTTGTTTCCACCTGTTCTTGAGGTAAAGGACTCGCTATGCCTCATAACCAGCTAGCAGGTTCCGAATCACCATCTCCCTCGCATGTTATCTGGCAAGAGTCAATTCTACCAATTGAAGCCAGGTTAATAATTACAGTGAATCTTTTACCATGGGTCCCCAAGACTTTATTTTTAAATGCCACTGTGCCTTTAACTAGATTGTAAATATTTTATGGCCACCAGAGACGTGATCCTAAGTTCTGATCCTGAGCCAGAGATTCAGATGTCACAGGAGGTATTAATGTATTTCAACACTGAAGTTTTCTTTCTTTCATATTGAGATTTTTTTCAATATGTATCCTCCAGCTATTAAAACTTACCTGAGAAAGCTTTAAATAAGAAAAGGACCATGCAATAGTTGCTGTGTTACATACATGTACTTTCTCAGCTTTTGAGTAGCACAGGTGTGGCTTTTGGCTGCAGATGCTAAATTTTTGATACCATGTAAATGTACTCAACTTCTCAGACTTGGGTCTTGTTTTTTGTTTTTGTTTTTGTTTTTTGTTTTTTTTTTTTTTTTAATGGGAGCCAAAATGTTTAGAGAAAGCTTCTGGGTGTGCCTTTCAGATTTTGAACAAGCTGCCTTGTCTAAACATCAATTTCTACTACTCTGTAGCCTTAAAATGTGCTCTATTTAGATCCACAGGACCCTTCTACTGGTGATATGAAAAACAGAATACAGAAATTAAGAGAATCACTTTTTACTCAACAATTAGGGGAAGTAAGTCAAAGCCCTCCTCTTGCGACAGCAGATTTCCTGCGGGCCACCTGTTCAGCGCCTTGATAGGGGATAGGGTGATCAAAGCACTCACGAAAACAGTTCATTCAGGTATGGAATGTCAGAATTCCTTTGGCCATTTTCTCCTGACTCTTTGCTAGGTCCCCTGGTTTCCTTGGCAGCACTTCTTGGATGGAGGACAGGGTCCACCAACTTCTCAAGACATTGAGTCTTGAGACACAAGAAACCACAGACTTCAACCCTGAAGGGCCTAACTCTGTCCATATGTCTGTCCTTTGAATACTTCCTGTCCCTGCCTAAAAGGAAACCCAAATTGTTTCTAGGATACTGGTGAAGTTGTAGTGAGGGGCTTAATGCAGTTAATAATCTAAAAGCCAGCAGAAAACCAAAATGCCTCAGCCTTAAATGGTTGTTTCTTTTTTATTTTCCATAATGAATAGACTCACAGGCATTTTACCCCCTTATTATAAAATTGTGAAGAGAAAGAAGATGACACACTTTTGGACGCTGTATTTTATGTATTTATTTTTGAGACAGAGTCTTGCTCTCCTCGCCCAGGCTGGAGTGCAGTGGCACAATCACAGCTCACTGTAGCTTTGGCCTGCTGGGCTCAGGCAATCCTCCTACGTCAGCCCTCCAGGTACCTGGAACCACAGGTATATGCCACCATGCCCAGCTTTTTAAAATTATTTTTGTAGAGATGGGGGTCTCCCTATTTTGTTCAGGCTGGTCTTGAACTCCTGGGTTTAAGCAGTCCTCTCACCTCGGCCTCTCAAAATGCTGAGATTATAGGCATGAGCCACCACATGCAGCCAATTGCTATGTTTTTAAAACTAGATTTATAGACATATTTTTTAAAAGCTAGGGCACTTTTCCCCTTAACTAAAAGCACTAGTTCAGTTCTTCAGGTAATTTCATTGGAACTCACCTAAGACTGGAATTGGAATGTTTCCATGTTGCTCATTTTTTCTACAGGTTATGATAGAATCTCATTAAATCTTGACATCTCTCCCAGGGGAAGAATATCACAGGCCAGTGGTGTGAATGGGGTATGAGATGATAGCATTTACTAAATCGGTAATCTCTTTTATGTATGTTCTTGTTATATTGAGGTTAAGAGGCAAGATGATTGGCAGCAGAATTCTTCAGGATTTTGTTTGCTGTGGTATGGATTATATTGGAGCACCTTAATCTGAAGGATGAAACTGTGACTTGATTTATCTAATTAGCTTTTAATTACCTATAGCTATTTTATTTTATTCTCTCCTATAGTTTTGGGGACCACTGTAAACGTCTCTCAGATGACTTGTATTTTTGTAGTGCTATGAAATTTATTTACACACTTAAAAACTGTATATTCACTTGAACTCTAACAATGTACATGTATATGTATATATTTGCTCCACATTATGTTTTTTACTTTATATAAACGTATTTTTATTGTGATAACCCAAGTGTGCCATGGGGGCATGTGTACTCTTAATGGTTGGAGAGCTGGTGTGGAAAACTGGTGTGGAAACCCGCATTTTTCATTAGGGTGGTTGGCTTCAAGATATCTGCTGCTAGAAACTGGGGTGCGTGACTCAGTGTGAGAGGAATATCTGGGTGGAAGAGTGAATTCCTGTGCTCTGAAATGCCACTTGGGAACTCTGGAGAATGAAGGACAATTGACTTCAAGGTGTCTGGCTTCTGCCACTGCTGGAAAAAAATTCAGTTTATAGCATTTCTGCATTTCCCAAAGTAGATAACCTGGAGGTTATTCAATAAATAACTGTCCCCGAGGACTCAATTTTGGGGGAGGGATTATCTAGGAGAAGCTTTACCCTGCTCTGAGCCATCAGCAGAATTTGGTGAATTGGAGCACAGGAGAATCCTACAAATGGAGTATGTCTCAGGGCATACATCAGCTATACAAGAGAGCTGGGACTTGCCTCTAGCTTCTGCAGGCACTTACCTGATGGGCCCTGGGGGGGGGGAGGGGTGGCCTGGAGGAGCCAGAACAACTCTTGGCCTCACCTCTCTGCTTCCAGAAAGAGTATTCAGGACTTGAGGGAAGCATCAGATTAAATACCAGTGAACAGTTCGAGGTCAACTTCGAGGTCAGCTTCCTGAAGTGTCAATCCTTTTCCCAATTGTTTCAATAACTCTTATTCCTTGCACTTTGGCAGATGTCCTGCCCTCCTCTTTCATTCCAGTATGTTAACCTCATCAAGGCAGCAAAGTGGAAGAGAAAGCAAGTCTGCCCTTTGCCATACTGAACAGCTATGGACCCTGAGGGGTAGTACACATGCCTGTAAGAATGAGATACAAGTGTGTGCTTTCCAGCTTTGCTAACAGTGGGAGTTCAAAGGCGCAGAGAGGGAGGAAGGTCCATGACACTCAGCCACATAGTGTAGGGAGGCAATTTAATATTAAGTGATGCACCATCCTCCCTCCCTAGGTGCCTTCTCCCAATCAAACTTTTTCCTTTTTTCAAGATGACTAATTATCCCTCAAGAACAATTAATTATCCCTTAATTGCCTTAGGTGGAGAACTTAACTCCTAGAAGCCACATCAACCAACCTCAACTCTGGTTTGTCCATATCTACTGTGTGAGCTACTTAACTGACTCCTCCTCTCTCCAACTGAAGGATCACCCAGTGTTTTTTGGATTATAGAATTATTATTTCCTGCTTTGTTACTCTGGGAATTTTTTATTTCTTTTGTTTGTTTTTATTTGTATGTGTTTTTTTTTCATTTTTTCTTTTTGGAGACAGGGTCTCCCTCTGCACCCAGGCTGGAGTGCAGTGGTGCAATCATGGCTCACTACAGCCTCAACCTCCCAGGCTCAAACAATCTACTCACCTCAGCCATCCCAATAGCTGGAGTCTTGCTATGTTAGCCAGGCTGGTCTTGAACTCCCAAACTCAAGCAATCCTTCTGCCTCAGCCTCCCAAAGTGCTGGGATTATGGGTGTGAGCTGCCGCACCTGGCCACGTTTTAAGAAGTAACCTGGGCTCAGTGCAGTGGCTTGCGCCTGTAGACGCAGCACTTTGGGAGGCCTAGGTGGGTGGATCTCTTGAGCCCAGGAGTTTGAGACCAGCTTGGGCAACATGGCAAAACCCTGTCTCTACAAAAAGTAAAAAATTAGCCAGGCATGGTAGTGCATGCCTGTTGTCCCAACTACTCAGGAGGCTGAGGCAGGAGGATCACTTGAGCCAAGGAAGTTAAGGCTGCAGTGGGCCATGATCACACCACTATACTCCACTCCCATCCAGGTTGGGTGACAGAGTGAGAGAAAAAGGAAAGGAAAAAGGAAAAAGGGGGAAAAAAAAAGGAAAGGAAAAAGGGGAAAGAACCTACAACCTCACAGGTTTTTCTTTTTGTTATTGTTGTTTTTGAGGCAGAGTCTCACTCTATCGCTCAGACGAGAGTGCAGTGGTACGATCTCGGCTCACTGGTACCTCTGCCACCGAGTTCAAGGGATCCTCCTGCCTCAGCCTCCCAAGTAGCTGGGATTACAGGCATGCACCACCACACCTGGCAAATTGTCATAATTTTTTGTGAAGATGGGGTTTCACCATGTTGGCCAGGCTGCCTAGGTTTTGTTTTTAAGAAGTAACCTGAAATTTCCTACAACACTGAATAAAGTGGTACTACTTCCCCCCACCACCCCTCCCCCAAAAAACAAACAAACAACAACAAAAAAAGCCATGAATTTTCTATGGGAATGAATATACCTTAATAAAGAAAATCAAGCAATACAATGGGCTACAATGACTGACTAAGAAAAACACATGATTATCTTAATGGATACAGAAAAAGTATTTAACAAAATTGAAATATCAACTCATGATCTTAAAACAATTCTGAACAATCTAGTAATCGTAGGAAATTTTCTTAAACTGATAAAGAATATCTACAAAAAACCTATAGCTAACATCATACTTAATGAAATACTAAATGCTTCCCCCCAGCCACACTAAGATCAGAGACTTGGCAAATACGTGTGCTCCAAACATTCCCTTTTAACTTCTTACTGCAAGTCTTAGCCAACGCAGTATTTCAAGAAGACATAAAAGGCAAGCAAATTGGAAAGGAAGAAATTAAACTATCCATATTCACATGTAAATAGTAAACTATACAGACACCACTGTATGTAGAAAATGCCAAGAAATATACATAAAAGTTCATATAATAAATGAGTTTAGCAAAGTTGCAGGATACAAGGTCAACATACCAAAAGTGACTTTCAGATGCATATACCCCTATTTGGTGTTCAATCACATCAGTGTGTTCTCTCTATAAAAGATGATGCTATTAATATTCCCACTCTGCCCTTCCTACACACTTCCTCTTCTGTCCCCATATACTGTCTACTACATTTTTACCTTTATATTATCAAGGTAAAAATTGTTACCTTTACCTTTACATTTACATCGTCCCAATTGTCAACATTTTTAATCATTGTGTTGTCTAAATGTGGTTTATTAAATTGAAAAACAATAAACGCCATTACATTTTTAAAAAGTGATTTTATTTCTATATACTAGTAATGAATGTTTGAAAATTTAAAAACCACTACCATTGACAACAGTAGAAAATATATAAAATATTTGGTATAAATATAAAATATGTCCAGGATCTGTATGCTGAAAGTGGAAAAAAAAGCAAGACCAAAATAAATATACAGCTATATCATGTTTGTGGCCTAAAGACAAAATATTGTGAGGATGTAAATTTTCTTCAAATTCATCTATAGTTCTAACTCAACAGATATACTAGCAGAATTTTTTATAGAAAGCAACAATTCTAAAATTTCTGGAAAAGCAAAGTAGTAATCAACACGATTTTTGAGACGGACGAAGTTGTACACACTATCTAATTTTAAGACTTCCTATGATTAGGAAAGTGTGGTATTTGTGAATGGATAACAATGGAACAGAATAGGCAGCCCAGAATTAGACCCAAACAAATATAATCAATTGATTTTTTGACAGAAGTGCAAAAGCAATGCAATAAAAAAGAAACAATCTTTTCAACAAATGGTACTAGAACAATTAGATAGCCATATTTTAAAAACTGAACCTTGACCCATAGCTAAACTTTATACAAACCTTTATTCAAAAAGTATCATAGATATAAATGTAAAACTTAAAACTATAAAATTCCTGGATGAAAATAATATATAATCTTCATGACATTGGGTTAGACAAGTGTTCTTACATTGCACATCAAAAGTAAAAAAATTGATAAAGTGAATTGTATCAAAATTAAAATTTTTGCTCTAAAAAAGTCAGTGTTCAAAGAATGAAAAGACAAGTCACAGACTAGGAAAATCTATTTCCAAATAATGTATCTGACAAAGGATTTGTATCAATATATTAAAAAACATATAAAAACAGTAAGAAAAGGAATAATCCAATAAAAAGGGGAGCAAAAGATCTGAACAGACACTTTGCAAGAATATATCATCTTTAACTGTAAGATCATCATAAGGTTTGAGGTGATATCCTGATTTGATCATTATACAATGTACACATGTACTGAAACATCACAATGTATCCCATAAATAATTATGTGTCAATTATAAACAAATAAAAGATAATACCATATATCATTGGGGAATTACAAATTCTAACAATGATTAAAATTTAAATGAATATATATATATATTTACATACATATATATGTATAATACAAAATTACTAAATACTGGTAAAGATACAAAGCTACTGGAACTCTCACATATTTGTAATTGGAATGCAAAATGCTAGGGAAACTTTAGAAAACAGTCTGGCACTCATTCCCACTCCAAAGCATTTACCCTATAAAAATGAGCATTTATCACACAAAACTTATACCTGAAAGTTTATAGCAAATTTGTTCATATTCACCAAAACTAGAAACATCTTACAAGTTCATCAGTTAGTGAATGGATAATAAAACTGTGGTACATCCACACAATGAAGTACTACTCAGTGATAAAAAGGAATGAAATAATTATCCACAAAACATGGGAGAATCTTGACTGCGTTTTACTAAGTGAAAGAAGCCAGACCAAAAGGGCTACATATTGCTTGATTCCACTTATATGACCTTCTGGAAAAGGCAAAACCATAGGGATGAAGAATAAATTGATGGTTTCCAGAGATTGAGTATGGGGTAAGGGGTTGAATACAAAAAGAGCCACCAAGAGAAATTATTAAAGTGACAGAACTTCTCTGTATGGTACTAGTGTAGAAGATACATGACTGTGCATTTGTCAAAACCCATAGAACCATATACTAAAAAGAGTGAATTTTACTGTGTGTAAATTAGAAATAAAAATTTTAAAGCAACAAAGGTATATTTTTACCTATTAAATTAGCAGAGATTTACAAAATTAGAAAGGCCATGTTTTGATGAATATATGGAGGGATATTCACATTTATACACTACTGGTGGGAATGCAATTTGCACAACTGTATTGAGGAAAATTCAGCATCACCTGTCAGATGCTCTAATAAATGCTCTCATCATCCAAACTAAATAATTTTAATTCTGGAACCTTATTCTAAAGAAATAATTCCAGATGTGCATAAAGGTTAATGTACAATGATGTTCATTACATTTAAATTTTATACGCAAACTTGGTAATAATCAAAATGTCCAATAACATGACATCATCTAAATAAACTTTGTTAAATCCATAAGATATTATGGAGCACTTAATATTGTATTTTTCAAAGAACAATAACATGGAAATATGCTTGTGAATTTTCAAATGAAAAAATTAGATAATAAAATGATATATACAATATGATGTCAATTTTGTTATAAAACTGTGTTATATACATAATTTTTAAAAAGAATGAAAGGACATACACCTGAATATTACAAATTAGTTTTCTGGCTTATAAAATTATACATATTATTTACTTTTTAATTCATACTTTATTTTTTAACAATGATCACCTGTTACTTTTATCATGAAGGAAAACTTTTTTTTTATTTTTAAAAAACAAGCCCAGCCCAATCTAGCCAAGCCGATGACCTTTTCAGTTGCTATCTTCACTCAAAATGCCACACTGTTGTCCACTGGGTGCTTATTGTCCTTTTGCTCCTTTAGGGACCGCACTCACTGGTGATAAACACCCGCCAAAGTGAGAGTGCAGGTGGCAGCATCCTTCCAAGCTCATTAAATCTTTCAGTTAAACTGGCCTAGTAAGCCATAGGCTGATACTGGGATCAATCTTCATGACCCATATAGGGAACCAATGTTTTGAGAAGCTATAATGCCCACCTTATGTAATTGGGAGTTTCCCCTCTTCTAAATCTCTTCTATGAAATAATATTTTGCAATCCTTCTCCAAAGCAACTCTTTTTATTTTAGATATTCCATCATGCCATGGGGAATGACAAATAGTAGGTCCAAGGATAGACTTTCCATTGTACTATTTCCTTATCCCAGATGTGGTGTTTGGGGATGCCTAGAGCCATTCTGTCCACTGTTCCTGTCTCATCTCACCTATCCAATTTTTTAAGCTGGCTATTTAGTACTACTTGTACTATCTCCTGTGTACTTGATCCCTTTAAGAGGGTCACAGACCCCTTGTCACAGAATCAAAGAATTCCTCTAAGTTACAAACCTTGTTTTGGGTTGTTTCTAAATTGGGTCAAGAGAAACCTCCTCAAGGGCAGCTTGACATGAGAATAGTGGCTGGCAATGACTCTCACAGTAGCAACAGAGGTATTACAGCGCAACAACTTCTCTCCAATCCACATTAAAAAGGTATGGATTTATGAAGTAAGTCTCACTGCCTGCTTCAAAGGATTACTTCAAATCCATTGAAGTAATAGATTTTATGGCATCTCTCATTTTCTCCCTTCCTTCCCTCCCTCCACTCCTAAGGGCAGTAAGTTCACTCCTATCTTCATTTACAAATATCACAGATCTCAGGTTTGCCTCATTCATGTAAGCTTCTAAATCCAATATCCACTAAATTATGTCAAGCATCTGTAACTCCATTATGGAATTTCATAGCCTCCTCTTTCCTCTCTATTTTTTAAAATCTTTAAAAATACTTATTTCAGTAACTTTTGGGGTAAAAGTGGTTTTTGGTTACATGGATGAATTGTATAGTGGTGAAGTCTGAGATTTTAGTGTACCCGTGGTACTGGTATAAAAGTAGACACATAGACCAATGGAACAGAATAGAGAACCCAGAAATACAGCCAACTATTTACAACCAACTGATCGTTAACTAAGCACACAAAAATATAAACTGGGGAAACAACATCCTACTTAATAAATGGTGCTGGGAAAAGTAGATAGCCCACATGTAGAAGAATGAAACTGAATCCATCTCTCTTACCTTATACAAAAATCAACTCAAAATAGAACAATGACTTAAATCTAAGACCCGAAACCATGACATTTCTACAGTATAACCAGGAAAAACTTTTCTGGACATTGGCCTAGGCAAAGGATTCACGACTAAGACCCCAAAAGCAAATGCATCTGCCTCTCTTTTTATATCCAAGGGCAACATGAATGTAACTCGCAACACTCTCTAAGGTTTCATTCACTCATTCACAATAAAACTTTCAGATGGGGACTTGTTAGAGACAAATGGCTTAGGACGAGAGAAAGCAAAAAAGACCTACTGAAACTCATCAAGGTGGGGAAAGAAATGGAGGAAGGTCAGTGAGGGCAAGAAATTCCCTAGGATGACTCTAGAAAAGAAAAATGAGGCAAGAGCCAGGATAAGGTGACAGAAGATGTGAGCAAAGGTCTCCTGGGGATTCATTAGGAATGTATTTGACTCAGGCACAGTGGCTAACGCCTGTAATCCCAGCACTTTGGGAGGCCGAAGGCAGGCAGATCACTTGAGGTCAGGAGTTCAAGACCAGCCTGGCCAACATGGTGAAACCCCATCTCTACTAAAAATACAAAAATTAGCTGGGTGTGGTGCCATGTGCTTATAGTCCCAGCTACTTGAGAGACTGAGGCAGTAGAATTGCTTGAACTCAGGAGGCAGAGGTTGCAGTGAGCCAAGATGACAAGATGGCGCCACTACACTCCAGCTTGGGCGACAGAGCAAGACTCCATCTCCCCGCCACAAAGAAGGAATGTATTTGAAACACACAAGAATTTCCACTTCCCTTATAACCTATCCTGCCCATCCTCGAGAGACAAAAACTAACCAGGACTCCTGATATTGTTTCTGTTCATATCTGTATGTCCTAAAACAAGGACATATCTGATGACCAAATCAGAAGGGGGACCTGGGATGGGGAAAGCCCTCCTACCAGTATTTCATGATCAGTTGAGACATCAGGCATAAATCCTGGGGCTGGAGTTCGCAGAGTTGCTGGCCTTGACTACATCTCCAATGGCTGATATGAGATCAGGTAAGGCGTGGGCATCAGAGTAATCAATTTGAGTATTTTTCAACTCCAGCCATAACTATGACAAATTCAACCTCAACCTTAGCATTCATGCCTCTCTGGGTCTTAAGTGATGGGACGAAAGTGCAAATGAAAGAAGAGGGTGGCTCCCAAAGGCATATACGTGGGAAAGAAAAGTGCCAGTGGAAGGAGAAAGTTATGGCTTTTGTTTGATCTCATCAGTGATATGTCTTACTTATAAGGCTTAAGGAAAAAGTAAACAAATATGAGCACAAGGATTGGGTTTACTTTCAAATCAGCTGACTACTCTCCTTCTATGAAGCTGGGTCATTTATTGCTGAAATCCAAACCCATCTCTGGTGGCCTATATTCCAGCAGTGGGGATCCACAACATTATTGAAGGCCAAACAGAGCAAGTACTCTACCATGTTTTAAGAATTTTTTTTCCCGTAAACATGGGGAGCTGTATGGGAAGTAACTATTCATATACACATATCGGTGAGTACAGTAACTTCTGAAATGCGACAAGAGAAAAGAGAAATCTAAGCATGCATTTGAAAATAGCAACCTGTGATCTGGAGAGGATCTTAATAGTGATCCATTTGTTGAATGATGCTTTGTGAAGCTGAGATGAAGAGAGGTTGTAGTCATCCCCCGCTACTTCTTTCCTTTTCTTCTCCCTCACATTAAGTCTTCTACCAGCTCCTCCTGAGGAATAAATACAAAGCAGCCCCTACAAGAGGGGATGGGTTGTCTGAGGGCCTGATCACTTTAACACAGTAGTTCTTAAACTTCTTTTGGAATATTGAGTCATTTGGAGAATATAAAAGACATGGATCCTCTCCCCAGTAAAATGTACTCAAAAGAAAAATGTCTGCATGCCATGTCAGAGGTTTTATAGACTCTCTTCTCCTAAGCTTTACCTTCCTTGTCCTTAAGGCCATCTCTGTGCCTCAATTGCCAGCCCTCTTCCCTAACAGCACAGGGAAATTCTACAATATGGACCACTAAACTGGATGTATTCTGACCCTAGAGTGGCTTTTACAAAGTAGTTGTTACTCACCTATTGATGTGAGCTTTCTTTTGTCTACCCTTTATCCTAAAAAGCTGAATTAATAGGATTGTGTCTTGCTCCGGTTAATCAACATGTGTGTACTATGACTGGTTTTTTGTTTTTGTTGTTGTTTTTTAAGAGCAGCACTAGCTCACTCTTCAACTCAGAGGCTCAGAAGCCAAAGTACATTATGGAACATGGCCAACAAATGCTTGTAACATGTAACTAACTTAGGTCAAGATCAAGGAAAAATTTAGATCCTAAATAAATCTTTTTATGCCACTTCAAGCTGACCAGCCTGCAGCTCTTTGAAAGAGTTAGGAGACGGCCACAGGATTCCAGCAGTGCTAAAGGCCAACAGCTCCCCTAGCTGTTCTCACCAGGAATTCTTGCGCATTCTCCCACTCCTGAAGTGTGACAGACCCAAAAGAGGGAACAGATGGCATATAGCAAGGTGTCAGGCATAGAGCAAATACTCAATAAAAGAAGGAATCACCTGGATCCCCCCACTCTTCTAAGGCTCATCTACTATCCCACTACAGCCTTTCTTCTCTAGTATTTGCAGTTAACATGTGCCAACCTCCAAGTCATTCCTCACAGTCACTGAAGCCTTTTGTACCTGGCCCAGTGTTCATTCTAAGCCTAGCTTCTACTATAATCCTGGGTTACTATAATAGTCATGTAAATGATCATCTGACATCCTAGCTTCACAGGTATCTTAACCACTCCAGTTTTGAAATCTAACACTCCAAAGTCTACTCTGATTACAGGTCCTATCACTCCAGTTTTCCAATTACTCAGCACTCACCTTGTTCACATTAAAGCCTCTTTTTGGCCCAGACTGAGGCCACTCCTGACCTTACTTCCTTCCATGTCCAGGTTGGATTTTTTTTTTTAAATGAAGTCTCACTCTGTTACCCAGGCTGGAGTACAGTGGGTGGGATCTCGGCTCACTGCAACCTCCGCCTCCTGGGTTCAAGTGATTCTCCTGCCTCAGCCTCCTGAGTAGCTGGGATTACAGGCATGTGCCACCACACCTGGCTAATTTTTGCATTTTTAGTAGAGACAGGGTTTCACCATGTTGGTCAGGCTGGTCTCGAACTCCTGACCTCAGGTGACCTGCCCACCTTGGCCTTCCAAAGTGCTGTGATTACAGGTGTGGGCCACCGCGCCCGGCCTTAGTTTGGATTCTTAAATCCATTTCTGTGTAACTCGTCTCTTGCTAGCTGTCCACCCCTCAATCAATCAAGGCAACCAAATACTGCTAGTGACAATGCCCCAAAACCACTTCATATTTTCCTGAGCTTCTAACCCAGTTTCAAACTCATTTCTTACTTTGATATACCATAAGCTCTCCTGTTAATGGTCTCACTCCAGCGTTTTGGCCTGAATATTCCTTAGGGACTCTGGTTCATATTTAGCCCTCTAGTATTTCTGTTCCAGCAGCTTTTGTCTTCATATTCCTGTTCCTGGTCAGCTTCCTCCCCATCATCCACCTCTACAATTACAAATCTTCACCACCCTTGCCAAGTCCTCTTCCTTACTCCTATCCCTATCTCTGTGCTCCAGCAAAGAGGTAGTTCCACTTACCTAAGGCTAACCCTCCACCTGCATGTGTTCTAGAGCCATAAATTTCACCCTTCCAGCTTCACCTGCATCATCTTTCAAGATCATCTTCCATCTATTATCATCTCTCTCTTTCTCACATCTACAATGACTCCCTTCTCAATTCCTTCTGCCCCATGGTCTGCAAACACACTCAATTTTTTTCTCATGTTAAATGATTCACTGTAAGGCGCTGGATAAGTGGTTTTAACTTGTATTCTGGTTGTCACATCTACAATCAGAAAAGCTTCTCACAAAATAATGATTAAGTACAATAAATAAGATAAAGAAAATATGAACCTGGTGAGAGGTGAACAGGACGGTGGAGGATTACCTGTCAGTGCAGGTAAGGGGATAGCTGGAGTAAAGTTGAAAGGGGAAAACTTTAAATATCAGCCACAGGAGCAAACCTCAGACTGTGAGGATGAGGTTTCTGTTCAGACAATGAGCACTCTGGTCCAACCCAGGGAGCAATTAGCAGCAATTACAGTAGCAGCAACAGCCATGCAACATCAGCAAGTAGCTAAGACCAAAATGCAGGCATAGAAATGAAGTATTTCATAGAAAACAGAGTAGCAAATATGACATATGAGGCACTTGTGCTGCTACTCCCCCTTCTCCGACCCTCAGCAGACATCACTAAATAGTTATAAATGTCTTTCACACTGAGATAAGACCTGGTTTCAGAATCTTGTTATAAAACATAATCAGGGCAGGCATTATCAATCAATTGGAGATGGTACTTGAGATGAAGTGTATTTGCTATCATTGCACTACACAGAAAAGTCCTCAACAAAAGAATTAGAAGACAGGAATAAGCTTCAGGAGTAAGCATTCTGAAGAGAGCTTGGACGTTGTTGGCAACTGGCGGGGACAAGCTGAGCCCATGGAGATCACAGAGCAGGCGCCCAATTAATGTCTGTTGATGATTCATTTTTTCATTCAACAAACATTTAATGAGGCCTACAATGTGCACCGGATTAGGCACTGTGAATACAAAGATGAGTAAGGCACTGTCCTTGCCCTTAAGGAATTTAAAGTCTGGTAGACGAGAGCCATAGACACGGACAATGATAATACAACCTGCTAAGTGCTAGGACACTTAGCAGGTTGTATTATATCCATCCGAGTAGGATTTCTTCAGAGGAGCACCACTCCAGGTTGCTGCTGGATCCATGAAGTCCTCCCAGGCACCAGGGTCTGCTGTTGTTTTTGTCACGTGCTGGGTGTCCCAAGATCTAACAATAATAGCTGTAATTAATGTATAGAGTGCCTATGACAAACACTTTACAAATATCTTCATGGAAACTCTGAAAATTAATAGTTATATTAGAGGAAGAAACTGAAGTTCAACAAGTTTAAGTCACACAGCCAGCAAGCAGTTGAATTAGGTTTCAAATCCAGTTTTGACAAAGTCTAATGCATTTTTCTGTTTTCAGGATAACCTTTATGCAGGTGTAATACAACAACTTTTCAACAGCTTTCTATTTGGAACTAAAAGCAAAGGCAATAGATTAGTCACTAGATCATGGAGTGATTAATTTGGTTTCCCACTCTACCTGGCAGAGAAATAAAAGGTGAAATGACCTCACACTTACATACCATTGAAAACCTTCAAGTCAGTTACTGTTTTTCTTTCTCAACCCTAACATCGTCACTGATCATTCAAAATATAAGTACCTCTAGTCAAATCTCTTCTTTTAATACTTGTCATAGTCAACACCATTATCAGCAACAACAGTTGACACAGCATTTAGCTGTATATTCCAGGCCTGTTCTAAGCAATTTACATAATTAGTCCCTTTAAGTACTTTTTACCCCCATCATTGAAAATAAATATTATTCCTATTTTACATAAGAGAAAACAGAGTCCTGGGGAAGTGAAGAATCATGCTCAAGACCACATTGCTAAGTGTGAGAGCAGATTTGAGCCCAGGCTACCTGGTCCCAAGACCCAAACTCTCACTTTACATAGCTCTGCTGCACTGCTCAGGGCCTCCTTTCCCAACTCTTGATGGCAAGTTACACAAGGCCCCCTGAAAAACCCAGTCCTACTTACATAAAATCTCATCACTAACCATTCTGGTCATAGAAAGCCATTCTCTAAATCCCAAATATCAATACTCAGAGCCTTAATTGGAAAATTTCCCGAAGAACATTGAGTTTAGAATATACCTTTGCAAAAAGAGAAAATAAACACTCGATATGTTTAGGTTTTTAATTATTGAATTTTTTTTTTACTTGCAGATATAGTCATAAACGTTTTAAGATCCATAAGCAAACTAAAGCAATTATGCCAATAATGACTAAGGCCACTGCTTCCTCAATTGAGTCTTTGATATAAAAGCCTTCACTTTTGGTTAATTACAAAAAAAAAAAAAAAAAAAAAAAAAAAAACCGTGGGAGATATGTGACAGTGAGAGTAGGCCTGCTACTGATGAGAAGGACCAGCAACTTAGCAACACCATAAAATGTCTGCTGCAATTCAGGTGTCTAGGTGTCTCCCTGAGAATCAACATTTCATATACAGCTGTTCCCAGAAAACAATCTTGCACAATCTGTACAGTCAAGTTATGATCTAAAAGGAGTTAATTGCAACATTCATCCAAAGAATATGACAGTATTTTTCATCAAGGTCTTTTTCTATAAGTTTTTCTATAACTTTTCCTATAAGTTCTATTATGTCTATACAGTCATGTGCTGCCTAACAATGTTTAGGACAATGATGAACCTCATATATGACAGTTGTCCCACAGTTGTCCCACCACAAAATCATATCATATTTTTACTGTAGCTTTTCTATGTTTATATATGTTTAGGTACACAAATACTTACCATTCTGTTATAATTGCCTACAGTATTCAGTACAGTCATATGCTGTACAGGTTTGTAGCCTAGGTGTGTAATAGGCTATACCATTTAGAGAGGTTTGTGTTAATATACTCTATGAAGTTCACATGACAAAATCGCCTAACAATACACTTCTCAGAACATATCCCCATTGCTAAGCAATGCATGACTAAATTTTTATAACTTCCTAAGAGGTTATCCCCTCTTCGCCACTCCCACTCCTTTCAGCCCTACATCATTTCTCATCTTAGCCACCACAGTATCCTTCTAACTCATCTCCCTGTCCAGATTTGAAAACATTCCTGAACACACCCCACACTACTGCCAGTGATCATCTAAAAGCATCCCTTTCTGAAAACACTTATAATGAAATCCAAATCCCATGGCATACCATATAAAGTTCTATTCCTGGCCTACATTTCCAACCTAATTTAGAGAACTATTTGTAGTTCCCCAAACTCATCATACTACTTCCAATGTCCATGCTTTTGCTTGGAAAGCCTTTCCCTGTTTTTCACCTAGTCAAAAGGTGACTTTACTTCTTTAAAGACTCAACTCATATACCAGGTACTCTGAGCTCTGTCATCTCCAGACTCTGTAAAATGATTTCTCTTTGAACTCCAGAGTATCTTATACATACCTCCATTGTAGAGCATACCATATTGTTGTAATTATATGTGTACATAGATGTTGATCTCTCTCACTAGACTGAGAACTCCTTGAGGACGGGGATGGTGTCTAATTCATCTCCATATCCCCACTACCCAGCACAGTGCCTGGCAGCTCAAATGACAGCAGAGAGGAGAGATGCTGAATATGCAGGAGTGAGAATAAAGCAATGTTCTTGAGTAGTGGTACAATACAAATATGCTGAATGAATTGAAGCTATAGAAAAACATTTTGGGGCTCAATGTTGTAAAGAGGTCTCAAAAGAAGGGACAAGCTAACTCAAGGAGGAGTCCCCAGTTACCAAGTAAACTTACTCAGAAGTTAAAAGACCATTTGTTGGGTATGTTATCCAGGGACTTGAACTGGGGTTAGTTTAAAATAATCTATTTGGGATAGGAGACTTTTAAGGTCCTCCCATACTGGAGCTTCTAAATCTATGATCAGTGCCACAGTCAAGAGAGCCATCATTCTGAGAGCCTATGTCACAGAGTGAATGGTGACTCCCACAGTTGTGGACAAAGGCTAAAAACAGATCACAAACTTATAACTCATTTGGTTGGGTGTGGCGGTTGACACCTATAATCCCAGCACTTTCGGTGGCTGAGGTGGGCAGATCACTTGAGCCCAGGAGTTTAAGACCAGCCTGGACAACATGGCAAAACCCCATCTCTACGAAAAATACAAAAATTAGCCAGGCATGGTGACATGTGCCTGCAGTCCCAGCTACCCAGGAGGCAGAGGTGGAAGGATCATCTGAGCTCAGGGAGGCGGAGGCTGCAGTGAGCTGGGATTGTACCACCGCACTCCAGCCTGAGCAACAGAGTGAGACCTTGTCTTAAAATGATACAAAAACAAACAAAAAAAAACCCTCATCCTCTGTTGATCCTGTTCCCAATTGACCCTTGAACCTGGCGCAGGAAGTGTTTTTAAGGCCAACAAGAAGGACATCATGACCCTAAATATATCCTCTACAAGCTGCTACCTAATGTTTTAAATTCCCCCTTAAACCTTTGGTGCCTTTCATTCATGTTTGCTAAAATGCCACTTAATCTAATATGTTGAGCTAGTATCAATTAACTTTACACTACACAGTAGATACAGGGAACACACCATCCATTCCCATACCCTGTGAGATCATCTAATCCAACCCTCTTGCATTAACACAAATCTAAGAACATCCACCAAATGTCCAGATTTTTAACTCTGGTACTCAGTTTCTTGAAGTGCAAAATACAGAAGTTGTATTGAATAATTCCCCACATCCCTTCTTCTCATGATATTCTAAAGAGCTTCTGAGCCTGTTTTCCACCTATAAATTAGACACATTGGTGAATCTGTTCTTATTCCTAACCAAACTGTTATAAGGGTCAAATAAAACCATGTTTGTAAAAAGCTTCTAGAAACAATAAAGTACAAAACTAAATCAATTAACTAAAAATAAAAATAAAAAGGTTGGGCTCGGTGGCTCACCCCTACAATCCCAGGACTTTAGGAGGCTTAGGTGGAATGACTGCTTGAGCCCAGGAGTTCAAGACCAACCTGGCCAACACAGCCAGATGCAGAAAGGAAGGAAGGAAGGAAGGAAGGAAGGAAGGAAGGAAGGAAGGAAGGAAGGAAGGAAGGAAGGAAGGAAGGAAGGAACGAAGGAACGAAGGAAAGAAGGAAGGGCTATACAAATGTAGGAGAATTAAGCTATATGTGTGGGGGAGTGTGCTCTGCCATTAATTAGACATTACCTTAGAAAACCTACTCTACCTCTCTAACATGCCTCAGAGGGTTGGTGTGATGATTAAATGGGAACATGTAAAGTAGCACACTCATTTGCCAATCGAGACCTTCACAGAATCTCAGGAATAAAAGTGACCTTCGAGTGCATGTAATCCAACTCATTCCACCCAAGGAGATTCTGAAGTTCAATTCCCAGTGTTCATACAAGCCTCTAGGTGTCACTTCCAAGAATCATCTTTGGAGAGTCCTTAAAACTGCTTCTCTATTAATTAGAACTGCCTTCAAAAGCAGCAAAAGACAACTGTCCCTGACCCAATAAGAGATCTGAAAACAGACAGAAGACAACAAAGCAAAGACAAATTCTTCTTTTTGGAGTTCTCCTACAATATAAACAGCTCTACTTCCTATGATGCTTCTCATAACATCTACATTCAGATCCCTCTCCGTATCATGGATGTTCTCCTCCAGCTTCCTCTCAAAGAGTTGCTCTTAGAATTAAAATAAACTACCAAATGGAACAGAATTCTTATCTTCTTTGGTTCCAAATACTTTTTTCTTTTCTTTTCTTTTTTTCCCTTTCTTTTTTTTTTTTTTTTTTTGTGAAATGGAGTCTCACTCAGGCTGGAGTGGCACGATCTTAGCCCACTGCAATCTCCGCCTCCGAGGTTCCAGCCTCCCCAGTAGTTGGGATTACAAGTGGCACTACCACGCCCAGCTAATTTTTGTATTTTTAGTAGTGACAGGGTTTCACCATGTTGGCCAGGCTGGTCTCAAACTCCTGACCTCAAGTGATTCACCCACCTCAGCCTCCAAGTGCTGGGATTACAGGCCAGCTGGCCCCAAATACCCACCTACCTACCTACCTTCCTTCCTTTCTTTTTTTTTTTTTTTGACAGAGTCTCTCTCTGTCTCCCAGGCTGGAGTGCAGTGGTGTAATCTCGGCTCACTGCAACCTCCACCTCCCAGGTTCAAGCGATTCTCCTGCCTCAGCCTCCTGAGTAGCTGGGACTACAGGCCCGCACCACCCCGACTGGCTAATTTTTGTACTTTTCGTAGAGACAGTGTTTCACCATGTTAGCCAGGCTGATCTCGAACTCCTGACCTCAAGTGATCCACTTGCCTCGGCCTCCCAAGGTGCTGGGATTGCAGGCATGAGCCACTGCGCCTGGCCCTAAATACTTTTCTAGTAAGAACATAACCAGTTACACTGAAGGCTTTGAAAGTCTTCAACTGGTATGAATCCTAAAAAAAAAAAGAGCACCAAGTCTACAGGAGCTTTCAGGATGGAGAAAGCCCTTCCAAATGGGAAAGGAGGTCAAACGGATGCTGCCATTACTGAAAACAAATGCCTTACTATGTCATTTTCCTAATACCAGCTCTCACCTCTGGACTTACCTAAACCAGGAATACAGAACATTATAAATAATGCAGGCTGCTAGGAACATTTGAAAGAAATGGTAAGATCAAACACAAAACACATTTTGAATGACATTCCCTACTGATTGGCTCTAGTCTATGCAGATGACATCTACACTTTTCCCACCAGAATTGCACTTCCAAAGACATCTTTTTTTTCCAGAAAATGGGGGAGATTAAAAGTAATAAGTAGAATATACATACGCAGATACCGAAGACCCGAATAAAAGGAGAAAAATATTACATTAATGTATGGGAAGATTGTAAAAATGACAGCTCTCCCAAAATTAATCTACAAATTCAGGGCCATTCCAATTTAAATTCCAGTGATATTTGTGAACACTCGACAAGCTGTTTCTATAGTTCACATAAAATAACTACATGATAATGAGATAAAATTTTGGAAAAAAGAAGAATGAGGGATGTGTCCTGCAACATAAGGTTGTTATTAAAAACTAAGCATGTAGGAAATGACAGCACCCACATTGTCTCATTACAATGAAATAAAAACATGATTTTTTTGAGGAAAAAGAAAGCCAGAAATCCTCAACATGAAGCATCACACTAAATAACTATTGAGTAAAAGAATAAATATAAGTTATAATCAAGCATATTTAGCAAACAACAAAACAAGAACATTACTTAGGAAATTCAGCCAATGCTATCATAAGTTCTCTTATTATAAAATAATGAAAAAGAATTACTCTTAGTAAATATAACAAACATAATGAGAGGAGAGAAAAGGGGCAGAAAAAATATGTGAATGAATAATGGCTCCCAAATCCCAAATCTGATCAAAAATATTAATCAATATGTGCAAGACCAACAAATGCCAGAAAGGATAAACTGGCAGGCTGAGGTGAGCAGATTACTTGAGCCCAAGAGTTCAAGACCAGCCTGGGCAACATGGCAAAACCCTGTCTATACCAAAAAAAAAAAGAACAAAAATTAGCTGGGCGTGGTGGCATACACCTATAGTCCCAGCTACTCGGAAGGCTGATGTGGGAGGATTGCTTGAGCCTGGGAGGTGGAGGACGCAGTGAGCTGCGATTGTGCCACTGCACTCCAGCCTGGGCAACAGAGCCAAACCCTGTCTTAAAAATAAACTCAAAGACATTCAAATTTACACATAGTAGTAACATCATCAAAGCCAGATGTCAGAAAGAAATTTTGAAATCAGCAAGAGAAAAAACAAAATAAAAAACATCACATTTAACTGATCTTCAATAAGATAATCAGCTGACTTCTTATCATAAATCAGAGACCAGAAAACAATGGGAAATAATTTTTTTTCTTTTTTCTTTTTCTTTTCTTTTCTTTTTTTTTTTTCGGGGATGGAGTCTCACTCAGCCGCCCAGGCTGGAGTGCAGCGGCGCTATCTCGGCTCACCACAGCCATCATCTCCCGGGTTCAAGCGATTCTCCCATCTCAGCCTCCTGAGTAGCTGGGATTAGAGGCACCTGCCATCATGCCCAGCTAATTTTTATATTTTAGTAGAAACAGGGTTTCACCATATTGGCCAGGCTGGTCTTGAACTCCTGACCTCAGATGATCCGCCTGCCTCGGCCTCCCAAAGTGCTAGGATTACAGGTGTGAGCCACTGTGCCCGGCCAACAATGGGAAATATTTTCAAACTGCTAAAGTAAAAAGAATGCCAACTGCAAATTCTGTATCTAGCAAAACTATCCTTCACAAACAAAAGAGAAATTATGGCATTTGAAGAGTCACAAAAATTAAAAGAATTCAATGCTAGCAGACCTGCCCTACAAGCAATACTAAAGGGAGTGATTCAGAGAGAAATGAATGAATACTAGACAGTAACTCAAATGCATGAAAAATAAACAGCACCACCAAAGGTAATTAAATAATTATAAAAAACAGAATAGATCTATTTGTGTAATACTTTTCTTCACAGATCTATATTAAAAGACAACTGGATAAGGAAATAATTACAAAATGTGTTGATATGCCTATATTGTGTAGAGATCTAATTGGTATAGTAATAATAGCACAAAGGACGGGGAGAAAATGGAAATATAGTGAAGCAAATTTCCTATGCTATTGAAACTAAGTTGATATTAATCTGAAGCCAACTATTTCAAGGTAAAATGTTAATTTTAATATCAGGGCAAACAATAAAAACAAAAGTAAACACAAAAAAACATTAAAAAATGAGTGGGAGAGGGACTTAAAATGGTACCCAAGAAAATAGTTGTTTAATAAAAAAGTCAGTAATGAAGACATAAGACATGGGGAAACAAATAGCAAAACAGCAGACATTAGTGCCCCCCTCATCAGTAATTACAAACATAAATGAAAGAATACTCCAATCAAAAGACAGAGCTTGGCAGAATAAATATTTTTAAAATATGATCCAGCTACATATTATCTACGAAACACATACTTTAGATTAACAGGCACAAAAAAGGCTGACAGTTAAAAAATGGAAAAAAGATATACCAGGCAAGCAGAAATCAAGGGAATTCTGGAGTAGCTTTAATTATGTGACAAAATAAAAGGAAAAATAAAATTTGCCAGGCATAGTAGCTCATGCCTGCAATCCCAGCACCTTGGGAGGCAGAGGCCGGGAATCGAGATCACTTGAGTCCAGGAATTTGAGACCAGCTTAGGCAACATGGTGAAATTCTGTCTCTACAGAAAAATACAAAAAAATTGCTGGGTGTAGTGGCGTATGCCTGTAGTCCCAACTGCTCAGGAGGCTAAGGCACTGAGTTGGAGACCTCAGTATGCTTTCAAAAATAAAACTGGGCAGAAAAAGAAGAAAATAGAAGACTTAAACAACACTATAAAACCATATCACCTAAACATACATAGAAAATCCACCCAACAACCACAGTATACATATTATTCTCAAGTGTACATGGAGCCTTCTTCAACACAGACCATATGCTAAGTCATAAAACAAGTCTCAATTAATTTTAAAACATTGAAACCATACAAAGTATGTTCCCCATAACAATGAAATGAAATTAGAAATCAATTTAAAAAAAGCAATTTGGGGAATTCACAAATATGCAAGTCAGGTGCTGTGGTTCATGCCAATATTCCCAACACTTTGGGAGGCCAAAGTAGGAGAATTCCTGGAGCCCAGGAGTTCAAGATCAGTGTGGGAAACATGGCGAGACCCCATCTCAACCAAAAAAAAAAAAAAAAAAAAAATTCTAAGTGTGGTGGCACATGCCTGTAGTCCCAGCTACTCAGGAGGCTGAGGCAGGAGGATCACTTGAGCCCAGGAGGTCAAGGCTGCAATGAGCCATGATTGTACCACTGCACTCCAGCCTGGGCAACAGAGTGGTACTCTGTCTCAAAATAAACAAACAAATATGTGTAAATTAAACAACAAACTCCTAAACAACCAATGGATTAAAAATGAAATCCCAAAAATGATTAGAAAATACTTTGAGATGAGTGAAAATGTAACAAAACATAAAATTTATGGAATGCAGCAAAAACAGTGCTTATAGGGAAAAGTAAAACTGTGACCATCTACATTAGAAATGAAGATCTCAAATAAATAAGCTAACTTTCCAATTTGAGATATTAGGAAAAGATCAAACTAAAATTGATTAGGGGCCAGGCACAGTGGCTGACACCTGTAATCCTAGCACTTTGGGAAGCTGAGGCAGGTGAACTGACTGAGCTCAGGAGTTCAAGACCAGCCTGGGCAACACAGCGAAACCCCGTCTCTACTAAAATACAAAACATTAGTCAGGCATGGCAGCATGTGCCTGTAGTCCCAGCTACTCAGTAGGCTGAGGCAGGAGAATTGCTTGAACCCAGGAGGCAGCGGTCGCAGTGAGCCAAGATCACGCCACTGCACTCCAGCCTGGGTGACAGCGTGAGACTTGGTCTCAAAAAAAAAAAAAAAAAAATTGATTAGGACAAAGAAAATAATTTAAAAAATAGAGTAAAAATAAATTTAAAAAACAGAGAAACAGAAAATTAAGGAAAGCAAATGTGGTTCTCGAAATAATTTTAAAAATGAACAAATCTGTAGCTAGACCAAAGATGAAAAACAGAGAAAACACATATAAAATCAGAATAAAAAAGACATTATCACCAATGTTATAGGAAAATAAAAGAATTAGAAAGGAATACCATCAAAAGCAGTATGCCAATTAGATACCTTATACAAAATGTTTGTTTTTAGGAAGACACAAACAACCAAATCTGACACAAGAAAAAAAACCTGAATACTTACAAAAACAGAATTGAAGGCCGAGCACGGTGCCTCGAGCCTGTAATCCCAGCACTTTGGGAGGCTGAGGCGGGCAGATTACCTGAGGTCAGGAGGTCGAGACCAGCCTGACCAACATGGGGAAACCCCTGTCTCTGCTAAAAAATACAAAATTAGCCGGGAGTGATGGCGCATGCCTGTAATCCCAGCTACTCGGGAGGCAGAAGCAGGAGAATAGCTTGGACCCGGGAAGCGGAGGTTGCAGTGAGCCGAGATCGCGCCATTGCACTCCAGCTTGGGTAACAAGAGTGAAACTCCGTCTCAAAAAAAAAAAAACAGATTGAATGGTTAATCTACAAAATTCCCATAAAGAAACATTCATGAACAGATGACTTCACTGATGATTCTGCAAACGTTTAAATAATAAACATCAGTTATTTACATAACTTTTCAAAAAATATTACAGGAGGAAACACTTCCCCAATTAATTCAATACATGATATTTACATATGCATGGTATTTATAGAACAAAGATAAAACCTCATGATTGTGTCAACAGACATAAAAAAGCCATTTGACAAAATTCATTTATAATTTTAAAATCCTCAACAAACTAGGAACAAAGGGATCTATCTACATTTGACAAAGGGTATCTACAAATACTGTATAGCTAGCTCTGTGAACCTAGGCAAGAAAAAGAAAAAAAAAACCATACAGCTAACATCATTTAATAGTCAAAATCTAATTGTATTACCCCTAGTCAGAAACAAGTCAAGGATGACTGCTCTTGCTACTTCTGTGCCGGTTTTCGCCATGGTGATTAGGCAAGAAAAAGAAATAAAAAAAATCAATGCAATTGGAAAGAGAGTACAACTATCTATATTTATAGGTGACATAAACATAAAAACCCAGAGGAATCCACAAAAAAATGCTAATAGTGAAACTATTAGAAAAGCTTTTCCAATAAGTTCAGAAACATTGGAGGATACAAGATCAACAGAAAACTAATTGTATTTTAATACACTAGCAATGAACAATCCAAAATTAAAGTTAGGAAAATAATTCCATTTTCAATATTATGAAAAATAAAATGAATAGAAAGGTATCTATTGTTAATGGATTGGGAATATTAATATTTCTAACATGGCAATACTCCACAAATTGATCTACAGATTAAATGCTTTCCTTAGCAAAATTCTGGCATTTTCTAGAAATTTACAAGCTGATCCTAAAATTCATATGGAAATTCAAAGCCTTCAGAATAATCAAGGCCAAAGCAAAGAACAAAGCTGGAGAACTCATACTTCCAGATTTTGAAATTTACTCCAAAGCTACAATAATCAATACTGTGTAGTACAGGCATAAGGATAGATATAGAGATAAATAAAATAAAATTGAGAGTCCAAAATAAACTCTTATATTTAGAATCAACTGATGTTCAACAAGGGTACCAAGACAATTCAATGATGAAGTAGTCTTTTCAACAAATGGTGCTGAGAAAACTGGATATCCATATGCAAAGGGACTAAGTTGGACTTCTTCCTTAAACTATATACAAAAGTAAATTCCAAATGAATCACACACCTAAATGTAAGAGCTACAACTTAGGTCAGGTAATGGTTTCTTTGTTATGACACTAAAATCACAACTAACAAAAAAAAATAGATAAATTAGATTTCATCAATATTAAAAACTTCTGTGCTATAAACAATGTCATCAAAAAGGTGGAAAGGCAATACAAAGAATGGAAGAAAATAATTGTAAATCATGTATCCAATAAGAGTCTGTTATCCAGATTATATAAAGAACTCTGATAACAACAAAACCACATATAACCCAATTCTAATGAGCAAAGGATTAGAACAGACATTTCTCCAAAGATACACAAATTACCACTAAGCACATGAAAAGTTGCTCAATGCAGAAATACAAGTCAACAGCACAATAAGATATTTCATATCCACTAGGTGGCCATAATTTTAAAAGGCAGAAAATAACAAGTGAGAATATGAATAAATGTAATTCCTCATATTGCAGATGAAAATGTAAAATGGTGCAGGCACCTTATTAAAATTTGTTAATTACCCACAACATTAAACCTAGACATGCCATGACAAAGCAATTATACTCCTTAATGTATACTCAAGAAAAATGAAAACATGCCCACATAAAATGTTGTACATGAATGTTTTTAGCACCATTACTGACAAAAGACAACATCTGTAAATGCAAACATCCGTCAAATGATGGATAAACAAAATGAAATATATCCATACAGTGAAATATTATTCATCAATAAAGAACAGTAATATATACCATAATCTAGATGAATCTCAAAAAAACATGGTAGTTAAAAGAAGCCAGTAACAAGGGTAAGAAATTGCATGATTTATATGACTGCCCAGAATAGACAAATCCATAGGGACAAAAAGCTAAATTAGTAGTTGTCAGGGTTGGCAAAAGGGAAATAGGGAATAAGTGCTAATGAGGTGGTGATGAAAGTGTTGTAAACTATAATAGTGGCAATGGTCGCACAACTCTATGAATATACTAAAAGTCACTAAACTTTAAAATGGTGAACTTTATATTATATGAATTATATCACGAGTTCTTTTCTACAAAAGAAGGTAATTACCTTATCCAGAGTATAGTGCTTAGCAGGATTGCTGAGATAGGCATTCCTACTCCAAAGCATTTACTCTTACTACAAATTTCAAATACCATTTGTTAACTGTAAAACCTTTGGCAAGTTGGCCCCAGGTAAGGTTTACAGTTGATTGACCATGAGTGAAGGTAGAAGATTTGTACAAGCACCTAACTACTCAATACATGTAGATACACAATAAAAACAAACAAGCAAATGTTAGGGAAAGTAAAGGAATACCACATGGCGATTAGTACTATAAGTGAAACACTTTCATCCAACAGAACATTTAAGTTTTCCAGTGACGCCATGAAGTCAAATGATCCCATAATACTTTTGGGCTAAATAATAATCTAATAGAGGAGTAGCAGATGTAAGACTGCAAAAATGAGTCACTAAAGAAACTCAAAACTAGATAAAGGTACCACCCTACATTCAACCACCGGTGGTGAAAAACCATAGCAGAACCGCATCTACAATACATAGGGCATGCTGACCTAACTAGATATTTTTCAGTGAAAGATTTGAAAGTACAATAATATCTAATTACCAGTATAAAGCAGTGGAAAATAAATTTTCTTGCAGGCAGATAAACCCCAAAGCCTACCAAAATATAGTCTTCTTGGTGACTATGGTGTAAATTAATACTATTTAATAAAGGACAGCAAGATAGAAGCAATGACTGCACACCACGATAAAATTCTGGAATACGTTTCTTGTTAAAGTAGTTAAGTCAATCTTTGCAGTATGACAAATCATGGGCTGTGCTTTCATAATATGGCAAGTTAAAGTACCTCAGGAACCATTCAACCTATGGTTAGCAACTCTTAATAACTAACATTTTACCAACAGAAAAAATTCCAGACAGCCAATTGGAGTGGCAATGGGTTAAGTGGTTAATACTATTGGAATGCACCCTTTCTAAATAGCAACGTTGAATTAAAGGTAAACAATGAAGTTACACGTGTAAAGCACTATAACGTGCTGAACCACCAGGTGACAACACTAAAGCACACTACCTAAACAAATTTTGCCATGAAAAAAAATTATTTTTGAAACCAGAAGTGAGATGAGAATGAAAATACTGTGAAGTATATAATAGGGGCTGCTAGAGAACACCAGCAAAACTAAACCATCACTCATTACTGCATCATATTTATGGACCCTAGATGACTGTTTAAAAAAAAAAAAAAAACCTGGGAAGACAGAGGACAACTATAGGAAAAGCACATTGATACATACCATGTTTTTTATTACACAACAGGACTTACCACAGGGCATGTGCTTACTGGGGTACATTTAACAAAAGTCAACTGAACTTACTGCAACAAAACTACAACATGTAGGCCAGGTGTGGTAATTCCAGCACTTTGGGAGGCCAAGGTGGGAGGACCACTTGAGCCCATGACTTTGATACCACCCTGGGTCACATACCGAGATGCTGTCTCAGATAAAATAATAAGATAAAATAAAATAGTTGGGCTGGTAGTGCACACCTGTAGTCCCAGCTACTCAGGAGGCTGAGGCGGGAGGATGGCTTGAGCCCAGGAGTTCAAAGCTGCCATCAGCTATGATTGCTCCACCATGTTCCAGTCTGGGTGACAGAGAGACCTTGTCTTAAAAAAAAAAAAAAAGTACAACAGTACTTTTAAAAGCATGTGAAATACCAATACTTGTAAGTTTTGAAACAGTAGTACATTAAGCCTTTAACACTAAAATATAGTCCACAGATGTGATGAATTCCCATGAGGTCAACTCACTTAGGAGAAACACATTAACGCTGGTGCCTGATGAAAATAATCAGTATATATTTAGTTTAATGGCAACGATAAAGCAGAACCATGTAGCTAATAATAGTACTGAATTAAACAAGAAATTGTACATCAACACACTTTACTAGACAATATTAAATACCTATGCAGTCTATAAGCCAGGAATTGTAATTAGAAAAATGCGTAAAATACATCATGCACCCTTGGAAATCCTCAACATAGCACAGTGATTAGGTTACCATATTAGTTTTCACTCTAGAATTTCACACCAAATTAGTTATGCAAGCTATGCAACTATTCAGAAGGACGCACTGTGGACTAAGGTGGTACTACAGAATTTCCACAAATTAGGTAGCAACACTGGGCACACTTCCAACAATGCAAAGGATGTCAAAACCTATAAACCAGAACTTGTAACAAGCCAAAAAAAAAAAAAAAAAAGACGCAAACATCCATGAACATTTTCAAACATATTTTTGGCTCACTAACACACTGACTAGGGTACTGTATTAATATCCCTATGAGAACCAAATCCATGATAACAAGCATCCAACATAATTTCAGAAGGACATGCTGTGGACTAATGGTAGTACTTTCTTTTCCACCAAAAATTACTTTGTGTACACAAGGAGGCCATACTGAACATACTTTCTGACAATAAGGGAAACAAAATAAAACAGAAATGGGGGGAAAGAAGCCTAACGTTACAGTATTCTCCCCTTATCTATGGTTTTCCTTTACAAAGTTTCTATTACCTGGGGTCAAACGTGGTTCAAAAACATTATATGGAAAATTCCAAGAATAAACAATTCATAAATTCCAAATTGTCTGCCGTTGAGAGTAATGTAATGAAATCTCAAACTGTCCAGCAAAAAGAATCACCCCTTTTTCCAGTGTATACCCCACATTATATGCTACCATCCATTAGTCACTTAGCACCCTTCTCAGTTCAGATTGACTGCTGCAGTAACACAGTGCTTAACAATGACCCCAATATAAGAGCTGTGATGCCATCAATACAGACGTGCCAAAGAGAAGCCACAAAATGCTTCCTTTAGTAAAAAGGCGAACATTTTCAACAGAATAAGGAAAAAAAAATTGTATACTGAGGTTGCAGTAACAAATTTTCTAAGTGCACTTTGGGAGGCCAAGGTGGGAGGACCATTTGAACTCAGGAGTTTGAGAAATTGTGCAGGAAAAAGAAATTCGTGCTAGTTTTGCTGTCACACCTCAAACTTTGCCACAAGTATGTATGTGTAGATAAAAACATATAGGGTTCGGTACTATCCAGTCTAAGGGATCCACCAGGAGAATTAGAACCTATCGCCCATAGATAAGTGGTGGAGGAAATTACTGTACAGGAAATTAGCCACTTTAATATAATTACACTGACCGATTTTAAGATGTCACCTTCGTGTGGAAATAAAATGACATTATATGTAAACAGCTTTTAACTGAATATATTTTTTGCCTCTATAGTAAGGAGATCAGATTATATTGTTATGATCTTCCTATAATCAAATTTCTGATGGGAATGGTGAACTAACATTTCTAAAAGGTCTTTTGGGTGAACTGAGTACTGCAAGGTTTCCATAACAATGCTTCTTTCTAGTCTTTTTATTCCAATAGAGTACGCAAATCTGGACAGCTCCTTGGAGTTTCAAGGTTCAAGGATGAAAAATCTAGTTTATGTGTTGTATACAGCTAATGTCAAGCCTACTACTTCACATACCATGTAACAAAAACTGAGCTATAAACAAGGAAATCATACAAGCAAAACTACATATCAGAACCTACCACAATAGCTAAAAATCACAATGCCCTCAAGAAAGCTACATTAATGTTGGTTTACTAATAGAACAGCAAACTAGATAGCTACTGGAGTAATAATCTCTGAAGGGCAATATTACCAATGCCACTATCACAAACTATAAATAATCAATTACTAGTGAATTTCCATTATCATTGCTTAGTGCAACAGGAAGTCACAAAATTTAGAGGTGCATGATAAACAGAATGGGAAGGCACTACAGGTATCAGTAAATAGCCCTCCTAATACCTCAAACAGTGGAAATACACTATTGGCCCTCAAAATCCTACCAGAGTACTCTTTTAATTTAAATATATGAATAAAGGACACTTAACAATTATACAATACACTAGTGATTATGAGAGGAAGTGTTGGATAGTAATACTAGAAAAAAATTAGGGAACCATTTCAGGTACGTGCAGTTCTGCCAAGGGCACAACCATGTGGACAAAATTCATACTACACATCTATCGTATCAAGTTACTTCACAAGACAGCACCAAATCTAATAATTCATATGGAAAATAGAGTTGACCATCACTTCTACAGGGCCCTTAATTTTAGAGGACTTTAAAAGGGCATAACTGTAATGAGACAACAGGGAACCAAAGAATTACAGTACCAGTGTACAATAAAAAATTACATTTTAAAACTTTGAAGGTCTCTACCAATTTCAATATATTTCTGGGCAAATAGCACTGAGCCATTAAACTGTAGTGCTAATGGAACTGATTTCCTAAACTCACATGAACCTCCAACCATCTATATCAGCAAAATGCAACACTGCATGGTACAAATTATGTACCACAGAACTTGTGATTAGACATCAACTGTCCAGAATTCCACAACAAATCTGGAAAGGCCCAATATATTACAACCTATGAAAACTGAACACTATTATCCTGGAGCTACTGGGATTGAACAAATGGCCATATGAGAACCAAGAGAATCTGGCAAATATTTTTGACTAAATTCACCTATACTGTATATACTTTGTCAAAAGTCCTTATAAAAACTATTTTTGTCTGTAGGACAAGAATGATATTTCTATTAATTAGGAGCAGATACAGATTCTTAACTTTGGACTCTATGCCACCAGCTAAAGAGCGCTGCTGTGTAGACAAATTTAGTACAAAACTTCCAGTTGATTCATTACCAAGTCCCTGAAGAAGCACCAAATTAAAAATTTTAAGATTACAAATGTGCTAGATAAATACATGCTACCATTACAGGGGAGGGAGTTCTAAAATTACTTGCAAATGACAATGGTTAAGAAATCAAATTTGGTTATGAAACATTCAGGCTAAAGGATCAAAGCATATATACCTCTACACTTAAAGCAAAAATGTTGGTTGCTTCATCAAATGTCTTTATTATTGAATAATTGATTTCCAATGTTGCTGAAGTGTTATATTAAGAGGAATTTTCTTTTTTCATAAATTTATCAATTTATAAAGGGCAACATTGTGAGGGCAAATAAAGCACTACTTAAGATTCAGAGTAATGAGTTATTTGTGCAAAATACATCACAAAATTTGGCATTTAGACATGCGAAAAATATGGGCAATAAGATACTACTTAACATTGCCAAAAATTCATGACTCCCCTCGCCAACTCCCCACTCCCAAGAAAAAGTACATAGGTACTAAACTTATGGAAATACATTGCATTGAATAGTTCCTTTAAAACCTTTATAATTGGCTGGAAAGAACGGAGGAATTCTAATTGAACTAGAAAATACACAAGAAATGTGCATGTAATGTACTCTCTAAAGGGACAACAGAGTGGACAGTCAAGGAACTCCACATATTCATAGTGTTATTTGCAAGTTTCTAAGCAGCATCCACAAATAAAAAGTAGGTGGCTGAAGTTACAGGCTGATGTTACACATTAGTAACACAATGTGATCACACAAATTTGGCAAAACATAAGTATTCAAGTTTGAGTTGAATCAATTTGACAAAGCATATGTCAAACAGATGTCAGATAGCAAAAGGCTACATTAGGGACTACAGATTTGCACGTTAGTTGTTCACCATCTCAAAAACAAGTACCAAACCTTTAATTTTATTGAGTACATTCACTGTACCAAATATCAATTGGCACAGAATGGAAATATCCCTACTAGGTAACATGAGTTGGCAAATGTAATTAGACATTGCACCAAAACCAACCCAAAACAAAACCCTAAACACAATTCACCTATCACTGTGTATATGAGAAAGCATGAATACTATCTCCAAGAAGTCCTTAAGATCCTGTATTTTCCTCAGCTGAAAAATCTTACTAAAATTTTACTGTCTCAACATTAGAAGACAGCACTGTACCTGTTATTTCCAAAAGACAAGGCCATGCAAATACATATGAAAGATTTCCATTGTTTCCCATTTTGTCCAGAGAAGCCAAAATTGGAATTTCAATTATACACAGATCAAAATATCCCATTTGCTGAGTTTAGCTGCTAATTGGATGTTAAATCCAATTTGAAAAACCAGGGCAGGTGCCGTGGCTGACCCCTGTAATGTAGTCTTAGCACTTGAGGAGCCCAGGTGGTAAGATAGCTTGCGCACAGGAGTTTGAGACCACCCCGGGCAACATAGCAAGAAAACCTTGTCTCCACATAAAATTTAAAAAGTAACCAGTGAAGCTAGAAGATAGAGTAGCACTACTTAAAATGTTTATCCTACTTCAGGACAGCAATAATCTGGGAATGGATGTTGACAATGCAACTGCAAAGCAGCATATATCAACATGTATAACAGGAGCAGATGGACAATTTATTATTTTTTAAGACAGAGTCTCGCTGTGTCGCCCAGGCTGGAGTGCAGTGGCATGATCTCGGCTCACTGCAACCTCTGCCTCCCGGGTTCAAGTGATTCTCCTGCCTCAGCCTCCCAAGTAACTGGGAGTACAGGCACTCGCCACCGCACCCGGGTAATTTTTTTTTTGTATTTAGTGAAGACAGGGTTTCACTATGCTGGCCAGGCTGGTCTTGAACTGCTGACCCTGTGATCCGCCGACCTCAGCATCCCAAAGTGTTGGGATTACAGGTGTGAGCCACCATGCCCAGCTGCAGATGGATGATTTAAAAAGGGTTATGGCATTAGCTCCTCTTCAAGAAGCCAAAGTACTACTAAGGCATTCATAAAAAGCTCCTGAGAGAATTTAGTTATACTACTAATGTTGGGATTCAGTCTGTTAAACCTTAATTTTATGAAACGATGTCCTAGGCAGAATGCTTGAAAATAATTAAGTGGCTACTAATATCATTAGGTCACTTAACCCAGTAGTGGTTAACTGGGAATATATAACCCAGTCTATCAGGTAAATGGTTCAGAACCATAGCAGAAAAACCTCAGTTGACAAAAAAAAAAAAAAAAATTAACAGCTTCATGCCCACTTGCAAGGTGACTGTCCTTACAGCTATCACCTTGCCAATGGGTGGAGAGTCTATTGTAAAGATATGGTTCCCATCCAGCAGGGATACTATGGTAGTGGACAAAATTTTATCAGCATCTTTCCAGAGAGCAAATAATTTGAAGATACGCACTAATACCATCAAGAACTCCACCTTTTTAGGATTCAGGGACTGTTGTGTGTTTATTGCTTGTGATGGTAAACTCTCATCTAAAATTTTCCTGCTTAGTTCAATCTAGGTGATACTTTATTAATGCCACAATTAAGCAATTCTGATTTCTTATTATCAGTTGATATAGGAGATATTTCACAATATGCTGACAGGTTCTAGAAAGCCCCTTTCTATGCATAGAGATTATGACAAGCTATATAGAGACCTAAGTGTTTCTAGATTAAATGCTTTAGTCCAGTGTAGGGAGGAATCAATGAAGGTGAACTAACCTTAACTTCCAACGATGAAAAATCTTCTGTGCTGCAACATGAGGCTCCTTCATATCATTGAAATAGTGAACCAGAGAAATGTATCCACGAATCCCACCCACACTCCAAGGACACAGAAAAAAGTATTTATTCCCTCCCTTGTGGAAAGTGTGCAGTTTGTAGTTCCCTCATGCATAAAATCCAAAGTATTTAGCTTTAAAATGTTATTTTGTGTGCTGGATCTAAATTTTAAGATGTGTAAGCTAGTTATATATTTATATTATTATATAAATTTTATTGTATATATATTCATAAGCTCTGTCAGTATGTTATGCTTAAAGCTTAAAATAAGCCAAATCATTCTTTTCCTGACTGCTTTTAACATGTAGTTGATGTTGGGATTTGAACCAGTAAGTGCAAAGAAAGCTTTCAGGGCCCTAAAAACTAAGTACAATAAGCACCGCATACAGTCAAAGGACAGATACTTCAATATAGAGTACTGAATACAAGGTGCACTGGCCAATCCAGCTGGCAGTGACCAAAGATTACCTTTCTCAATGTTTGTTGGCATCACAGAGCTCTTTTGGCTACATGTACCACAAGCAAAAGGCACTACTACCATCAGGCTCATTCCTCCTCCCAGTGAAAGCACAGGTATTCTTTGTTGTCTTCACTGAAAACCTTTTGCAGACATTCTTGAGGATGATACCCAAAAGCATCCTTCTGGGTCAAAACCATATCACAACATCCTTTACTACAAGCTCTGGTCCTAATGTAAGGTATGGAATTTCTTAAATCATTTATTTTGGAGTCCCATCCAAGATCTCCTAACTCTGAATAGCACATGTAGTTAAAAAATAGTATGCAGTGAGTCCCTGAGATGAACATGAAAAATTCAGCATAGCAGTATCTGTCTCGGCAGTCTTCTGATCCTGTCAAGCAGAAACTAGTGAAAACCACAGCTAACCCAAAGCTAACCCTTTTAGCTCCCAACTTAAGGGAACCCATGGAATTTCACAAATACATGTATTAGGTGACCAAGGGCTGTGCCTGCATGTTGCAGTATTCCCTTGGGAACAAATGTACAGTGCTGGTCCCTATCATCTTGTCAAGGCATTCTCATCACCTTTGAAGAAGACTGGTTTCCTGTATCAGGTGAATATAGTTTCAGGATCAAAGAAACTTCTCAGTAAGTTAACTTTTCTTAACTGTACCCTCAAGTGTAAAACATGGAATATAGGAAGTGCTTAAAGTCTTGCTGAAGCAGATGACTTCTAATGTCTGTAGTTGTGTTTGTTGCTTAAATGTCCTGTACTTACCAAACACTAAGATTATCTGGAACATGTGAAAACCACAAGAAAACTTTAGGAATATACACAGCCCAATCCCCATTTTAGTCCCTCTGCCCCTCTCCCATCAATCAAAAAATTGAACACAATAATAAGTATTCAGAAAACACTCACAGGACGCAGGCTGGCCCATCAACCCCAACACGGCACTAGAAGCCAAGGAAGGGGCAAAGAGAAAGCCTGCATATAATAATGGAGGCATTACAAGTTGCGACTTTTATATAAAGATAGTCCATAAACTTCATTTTCAACATACTGAGCAGGTTGAAAGTGAAATAGTAAAGTTGCAAAGGAGAAACTTTTAAAAGTCACTGCTAATAACCAAAATGGCTGCTTGTCAGGGCTTGGTAATAGAACTGCAGCCATTCCTGACTTTCTGGGCACATGATAGGTTATGAAACCCTGTCCCCTGATTCTTACAGGATATGCACCCTTCCCTCCATGCTGCCCCAAACACCTTCTCTGATGCTCCCCATCACACAGACACCACAGCCCCATATCACAAGAAACCATCCCTTCCACATAGTTCCCGTGTCCTAAACCCAAGTGGTCCCTCACACAGTGTTTGAACTCACCCAGCGCATGGACAATTGCTGACCCTCAAAATACATGAAACCAGCAAAAGGGGGTAAAAGTAGGGCTATGACTTGCCAGCAAGATAGGGGAACAGGCTTGGGGGTGATGTGAAGATGGCTGCTGGCATCACATTTCTTCTTGGACTGATGCCCAATTTCTTCAAAGCACTATGCAGTTTTTCCTTCTTTGAAACAGATTACAGATAGATCCTCCATCCCTTCCCTTCCCTCCTGTCCCAAACCCTCAGGGCCCTACCCTTAACTATCTCCCCTTCCCAAAAACTTTCAAATAAAATTCCCAATAACATCAGCACTTGTATTACAGGAGATGTTTACCAGCTATACACTATCCCACTCCTACTTTTTATTTCCCTTTTGTTATATAATAAATGAGAAGCCAAGACTCTAAAACTTCTTAAACTCCAAAAACAAAAGTAATAGAAGGGTATATGCAGTTTGTTTGAGTTTTCAATCTAGCCTGGGGAAGCCCACACAAGCCACCCTACACCCAACCCCAGATCTCAATGTTCACACCTAAAAATTGATGGGTATAATCAAGGTAATAAAGTAATCATCTATTAAGCTCTAGTATTGTATAGATTATGGACTTGTATTCCACTTCTCAAACCACATGTCCCTTACCTTGAGGCTCTGGAGAGGTACTGCCAAACTCAAAACAACTCTGACAGTAGCAGTGGCCCCAAAGGACTTGGATCAATATTCTGAAGATGAAGAAGGTCTTCCAAATAAGCACCATGAAAAAGTCTAATGCCAAATGAGTTTTTCTTCTATTGTCCTACCCTCAGGACACAAGAGCACTACCAGATTCTGCCTAAAAGCTACCTTTAAGGTTTGATATAAGGGAACATGAGGCATCCAATGCCCAGGTAAAAGTAAGGGAATATAATCCCTGATATTTGGGAATGCACTGGGACCAGGGTCAAACAAAGTGACTTCTTGGGCAGACTAACTTAATTCTATAGACAGTATGAAAATAAGAGGTCATTGGTGATGTGGTAAAAGGCTAAAGGTAAATAGGGGAAACCTACAAAGTGCTCCCTAAATCACTCGTGATCACTCTCTTGGTAAGTCATATACTAAGTATATACTTCTGCTAGGCAACTATTGGGAAATTTATCCATACTTCTCTTCCTGTAATATATGTTAGTATATCCAAAATAATTCAAAGCTTTCTTTGAACTATAAAATGCCATGAATTAAGCCTTCGAATTCAAATTGAACTGGAAGGCATTCTGATCTTGTTAAAATTATTCTCTCCAATTCACACTTATCTGTACAATGTACATTAATAACTAATTTGTTAGATGATTAATACCAATAATTAACTTGCTAGAGGACCCAGGAAACAGAATATCTGCAAGGCCCAGAGTAGATCATAAATAAATAGGAATGCAGACATAAGATGTTCAGTTTTGGAACAGTAAAGCTATAATGAGTTTTCTTTAAAATCAAACAATTGTACAATGCATTATAGTCTATAACTTATTCTGTAGTTCAAATAAATAAAACTTTCCCCTGTTACAGAAAGACAGCCCTCCTCCCAGCAACATTTCAGACTGGATGGATTGATTCCTCACCTGACATAACTCTAAAATCCTCACTGAAGAAGCCAGGAAGTCAAACTGAGGCTGAAGACCTGAAAGTACAGGGGACTAAACCCAGAAAGCAGTATCTGTAGCAAAATAGTTGACCTGATGGCTGGTTGGCTCCCAAGAATCTCTCTGTCCTGGTAGCCAGATAAAGTAATCAAAGGGTAATCCTATACTTGGTAAGCCAGTGGAGTACTTAGGAACAAGTCTCATGTTAAAGGGCTTCTTCCATGGAGTGTGGTTAATGTGCAAAAACATGTCTATAAATAAGGCTGTTAGGACAGACTCACCATAACAGGAAATACCAGAGAGATCAAGGGTATCCAGGAAAGTCCAAAGATGACAATGTAATACAAATAGAGCAATTAAGAGGTTACATTCTTGCATTGTAAGACATGGGGGTTCAAAGAGAAAGTCTAGAATTTACTGGCTAGCCATTCTTGCCAAGTTCTGAACTTTTATTGATTTGATGACCTCTTTGAAATGTAATAAAAACAATAGTAACATTAGTGTTGGTGAGATGAGTATATCAATTAGAACAACCTGTAGGTTTGGCTATCCCTAAAACAAGCCAACCTTAGAAGAAATGTCCTTTAAAAAGAAAAAAAAAAAGGCATTTCTTCCTAAGGTTGGCTCTTTAAAAAAAAAAAAAAAGAGAGAGAGCGAGATTGATTCTTGCTATGTTGCCCAGGCTGAAGTGTAATGGCTATTCACAGGCATGATCTCACTACTGATCATCATGGGAGTTTTGACCCGCTCCATTCCCGACCTGGGCTGGTTCACCCCTCCTCAGGCAACCTGGTGATCCCCCGTGCCCGGGAGGTCACCATATTGATGCCAAATTTAGTGCAGGAATCCAATCGGCATAGCTCACTACAGCTCAGAATTCCTGGGATCAAGCAATCCTCCCTCCTCACCCTCCTGAGTAGCTAGGGCTACAAGTGCATGCCTGCAAGCCCGCAAAAATAGCCTTTTTAGAAGTCATTTCTGAATGGGGTTATTGTTCCTGCCAGGTTTGAAAAACATGTGGACACAAGAGTCACATCCAGGTGTGTACTAGAGAGGCACTGCACTTAATCCTACCTACCTAAGCTATAAACTTTTCGGACTGTGTATCCTTGGCTGATCTTCCTAGGAGCACAGTCACCACTGGATATTGAAAAGGACCTAATTTTTACCTCCAACTGACACATCATTGATAAAGATAATGAGTCTTCACTATGTGCTATCGGGTTCAATGTTACTGAGAGTAGCTGCCCTCAATTACCCCATCAGAAAAAAATAAGGAATATTATTAGAATTTACTTCCTAAGTTAAAAACTGAGCTATGCATACATAGAACAGTGTGTGACACTTACCATTTAATGTATGCTCAGTTAATGTTAACTCTTGGGAGGTTTTTGTTTGCTTGTTTTTTGTTTTTTTTTTGAGACAGACTCTCTTAGTCTGTCACCCAGTCTGGAGTGCAGTGGCGCGATCTTGGCTCACTGCAACCTCCACCTCCTGGGTTCAAGCAATTCTCATGCCTCAGCTTCCAGAGTAGCTGGGATGACATGCATGCACCACTACACCCAGCTAATTCTTTTTTTTTTTTTTTAAGTAGAGACGGGGTTTCACCATGTTGGCCCAGGCTGGTCTCGAACTCTCAACCTCAGGTGATCCGCCTGCCTCAGCCTCCCAAAGTGCTGGAATTACAGGCATGAGCCACCGTGCCTGGCCTCTTAGCTATTGTTATCAAAAGACTGCTATAAAAAAAAGAATGCACTGCTTAGAATGGAAAAACAGGTAAAAGATGATTAAGAGATATTTAAATGAGGCCGGGCATAGTGGCTTATTCCTATAATCCCCCAGCACTTTGGGAGGCTGAGGCAGGCAGATCACTTGAGGTCAGGAGTTGGAGACCAGCCTGGTCAACATGGTGAAACCCCGTCCCTACTAAAAATACAAAAATTAGCCAGGAGTGGTGGTGTCCACCTGTAGTCCCAGCTACTCGGGAAGCTGGGGCAGGAGAATTGCTTGAACCCAGGAGACAGAGGCCGCAGTGAGCCAAGATCACGACACTGCACTCCAGCCTGGGTGACAGAGCGAAACCCTGTCTCAAAAATAAATAAATAAATATTTAAATGAGAAGTAACACAGTTGTTTTTGATGGAAAAGTACTGCAAAAGCAGATTACAAGCGTAGAATAACCTTACAGTCATTAAAAAAATCTAGTGAAAGAGAAACGAACACAGCCATGTCCTAGCATAGGGATGAAACTAGAAAACAAAGAATAGAAATGCAAAACACGCGCGCATGCGCGCACACACACACACACACACACACACACACACACACAAAATCAGGTCACTAACAAGTTTGGTTTGTAATAAGAGAAATTGTCAGAGAAATATGCCCACAAAAATGTATCCGTAAGTATGTTAAATATATTATGTTCAAATTTAATAAAAAACTAAGTCCTAATATTTAAAAGGAAAAAAATTTAATCAAAAAATAAAGGAAATGTTTTAAAACGATCCTGGTCCAAATGAAAGAATTCTATGCATTCACATCTAAAGAGAGGAAAATGTTCTTGTTAAGAGCCACCTAAAAATGTCATCAATATCCGTACACACTAGAAAGAAAGAAATATAGCAATAATCCAAGTTGGTTCTGCATATGCTTTAATTGTGCCATGCCTTTTTTTTTCAAATATTTGAAAATGAATACCTATGGCCTTTTATAATTTTTTTAATACAAAGTATACTGGAGGCAAAGAAAATATTCTTTGTAACCCTAAGTCATAGATACATATTTGAACTTATTATTTCCTTTAAAAAAATTGACTGAAGGCCCTCAGAGAATATGGAGGAAATACCAAGGAATAAAAGAGAAAGCATCACATGTTCAGGTAGTGGACATCAATTTACATAACACACTGACCTACATTAAAAATAATAGCTTAAAAAAAGAATGATTTTTAAATCATAAAACTATTTTAATGTAATTGTTTCACTTTAATCAAGGAGGAAAAGAATGAACAGTGATGCCAAAGATATCACATCTAGAATAGAAAATATTTGTGTTAATTTTTGGAAAACCTGTGGTAATATTGCTATGGCTGCCTCAATCCCAGTACATTGAAGTTGCATCTTACTACTTCAGAGTCAACATCAAGATTTTTATTGCAAAAGTTAAACGATTCTTGATTTTATATGTTACTATGACCAAGCTCATTAGCTTAATAAAATGTATAAGCAATTAACAAAAGCATCACATGAATGTTCCAGAGCAGCATAATCCATTAGATAGCAGAAAAACAAAATGTGGTATACAAGCAAATTGTATATCTAAACAAATACATACTAATAGATGTATATAAACAAAACATGGTACATAAACAAAATGAATGATAAACAAAATGTGGCATATACACACAATGAAATATTATTCAGCTATAAAAAAGAATAAAGTTCTGACATATGCTATAACATGGATGAACCTTGAAGGCATTGTGCTAAGTGAAATACGCCAGAAGCAAAAGGACAAATATTGTATGATTCCACTTATACAAAATATTTGGAATAGGCAAATTCAGAGACTGAAAGTAGATTAGAGGTTACCAAGGGCAAAAAGGAGAAGGAGACAAATGTACTATACTAATTCAAGATATTAACAATAGGGAAAACTGGTCGGGCTCGGTGGCTCAGGCCTGTAATCCCAGCACTTTGGGAGGCCGAGGCGGGCGGATCACGAGGTCAGGAGATCGAGACCATCCTGGCTAACACAGTGAAACCTCGTCTCTAATAAAAATACAAAAAATTAGCCGGGCACGGTGGCGGGCACCTGTAGTCCCAGCTACTCCGGAGGCTGAGGCAGGAGAATGGGGTGCACCCGGGAGGCGGAGCTTGCAGTGAGCCGAAATTGCACCACTGCACTCCAGCCTGGGCAACAGAGCGAGACTCCATCTCAAAAAAAAAAAAAAAAACAATAGGGAAAACTCGGTGTGGAGCATTTGGGAACTCTCTGTACTATGTTTGTAACTTTTCTGTAAATAAAAAACATTCTGAAACAAAACATTTATTAAAAAAAAAAAAAACAGGATGACATCCACCCTCATAAAAATTTACCCTATAAACAGATTAACACATATTTTGAATTTTCTATGTGCTAAAATATACTTACTACAAATTCAGTAAGTCAAACTGAACCAAGATTATAATATCCTTGTAAAATCCCAGGTGTGCAAGGACAATTTTGGAAAACCTGTTTTGTGCTATAGCGGTAAAATAAGGTTAAATAGCCTGGACTCGTGTGTATTTGAAGAAAATTACTTAAGCAAGTGTAAAATGGTTAACATTGCAGTATAAACTAAAATGTTTTGGAAGAGCAATTTGAGAAGAACTTTAATAAATAAGAACTATTCTTATTTTTACCAACTTTTTCAAGGATGCCATCATATAGAAATCATAGAACTACTCACAAAAAGACACAAGGATTAAGTTTTAACCGCACCATTTTTTTGTGAAAGGGACAATCTAAAGTCTTATTAATAAAGAAATGTTAAATTATGTTACATAAATTATGATATCCATGAATTTTCATTTCACACTAACAGTCAAGTATTCTGATGCATAGTCCAGAGACACATGTTAAACACTAAAATTGATGCTATTAAAAACATAAAATTGAATGACTTGTGTATGAAAAGGGGTCCTGTTTAAGCCATGCAAAGACCATGGGGCAAGGCAGACAACTCTCTATGAATATGACAGTCATGACACACCCCATAAAAATTACTTATGACTCAACCAAGAACACAAGCAGTATGAAGCAATGGGCATGCAACAAACTATAGATCATGAAATATTATCAGAACTGTTTCTGATATAGCTCTGCTACTGTTACTATGTTACATGCACTCTTATTAAAAAGCCCCCTACATTAATTCTAGTAAGTAAATTTTCTGTTACAAAAGTCCATATAGGCATTTATACCATGTGACATCTGGCAGAAATATATATAATAGTAGCAAGGAAAAACAAAAAACCTGGGTAGAATTAACACAAAATAGATTAATAAAAACATTCAAGATGGAGACTAGTAAACTGTTGAAGTAGGGAAGTCAAGAGTCATGAAAAGTCATTGACTCAAACATTATTAAAATAGAACCAAAAAATTTAGAGTATACAGAATGGCATCACATAAATGAGTCTAAATATAGATAGGCAGCAAGAGGCACAATAAATAGCAACATTTATAGTACTTCCACAATCAAAATAATTCTATGCTATCACAGGAAAAGACAGTCAATGACACCAACCAGTGAGTCCAGAAGTCAAATAGATGAGAATTTAGTATTTGATGTGTAGAACTTTAAATAAGTGAGCAGGCACAGGGGTACTTGCCTGCAGTCACAGATACTCAGGAGGCTGGGTCGAGAGGATCACTTGAGCCCAGGAGTTCAAATCTAGCCTGGGCAACATGGTAAAACCCTGTCTCTTAAAAAAAAAAAAAAAGAGTGAGCAAAATGTAGATTTTTCAGTAAATAGTATTGGGACAACAGCTAGCCATTTAAAATAAAATGTGAAATCATTATATGGCTATCAACCTCAAAATAAAATCCAAAATGATCAATAACTTAAAAATAACTAAATCATGAAAGTACTTTGAGATACTGATTTCCTCTGACCTACTAAAAGCTATATTCAAAGATTTCCTAAAATTGAACCATTTTTGCATGGTTGGTATGAACACCACTTGCCCAATTGTGTATTGATCATAAATTTGCTCCTGGATTCTTGTTGCCAAATTTTTATTTATGTTATTTCCTTATATATCACTATTAAAAATAGGCTACAGATTTTTCAGTTTTTATCAAGCTATAAATATGCCGACTTCATAATAAGACCATTGTCTTTCATATACAGAGACCATCTCTGGGAAGGTTGAAGGTTGCTTGTATCTTGTAAGGAGGAAGGAAGATTGAGAACTGGGAATCTAAAAGCAGAAAGAAGACTTTTAACTAAAACAACTTTAGTACAAATTGAATTTTGTACTATTTACCATTTGCACATATTACTTTTTTTAAAACAACTTATAATCTCATATCTACAAAAAATTAAAAAATTAGTGGAGAATGGTGTCCTGCGCCTATAGTCCCAGCTACTCAGGAGGCTGTGGTGGGAGGATCACTTGAGGCCAGGAGGTGGAGGTTGCAGCCAGCCAAGATGGTGCCACTTCACTCCAACCTGGGTGACAAAAGGAAACCCTGTCTCAAAAAAATAAAATTAGCCAGGCGTGGTGGCACGGGCTACTCAGGAGGCTGAGGTGGAAGGAGTGGAAGAATTGCTTGAGCCCAGGAGGTCGAGATTACAGTGAGCCATGATCTTGCCACTGCACTCCAGCCTGGGCAACACAGTGAGACTGTCTCAAAAAAAAGAAAAAGGAAAAAAAAGAAATGCCACTGGACTGCAACTTATAAATGATTAAAATGGTAAATTTTATGCTATATATATTTTACCACACACAAAAGGAAAAACAAATCACCTGGATCTTCCAAACATTGTATATAGAAAATTTTTGTTCTCACTCTGGATACACCTGCCCCATTCTCCTAGCACCTAGAGGTAACTGCTTTCATATCTCAGTGCTATATGTTTAAAAAATATAAGTAAACATATGTTTCACCCATTTTCTTCCACAGAAGAAAACTCATTATATGTATTATCTTTATATGCCTTTGTTCACTTAATATAGCCTTCAAATTTTCTATTACTGCATAGACTGCCACCTCATTCATTTCTAAAGCATTCTAGTATTCCATTGTGAGAATCTACCAGTTTATCCAGTCCCTTATTGATGAGCCCCTGGATCGTTTCCAACCTTTTGCTATTATAAAATATTCTTCAATGTTACATATACAACTTGTTTCACTTTTTCAGCTATGTAGGATAATTCTTAGAAGAGGATTCACTAGATCAAATAAAGGCGACTTTAATTTTTTTTTCTCCCTTCCCTCCAGGAAGGCCGCCTCTACTCAGCCAGCAGCAGGAAACAGCCTGCTTTGGAGGTCAAATGGAGGGCTGGGTGGGGCCAGCTCAAACCTTCTATCCCCAGCTCTTTTGAAATTCCAGATCCCTGGCTTTGTCTTAAGCAAAAGTACTGTGGAAGCTGCAGCATTTCCTCCTCCTTTCCAGAAACTGAGCAAGAAAAGCCACCCTGGAAGGTGTACGAATGCTGCCTCATGCCCAACAAGCCACAGGGCCTGGACGCACTAACTGCAGCCCCACAGCCACCACCCACCAGAGCCCAGGGAGATTCCCCAGGGCAACTATTACTTTGATAAATATCTCCAAAGTATCCTTCATAAGTATTATATTATTTTGCATTCCAGCATTCTATAAGTGCCAGTTTTCCCACAGTCCTGCCAACAAAGTTCTCAAATATTAACTTTCTGTAGTTTTTCACATTTCTCCTATAAATGACTTAAGCATGCTTTTATATATTAAAGTGCCATTGGTTTTCCTGGGAACTATCTGTTCATGACCATTGCTCATTTTTAACTAGGGTCTTTTAATTTTCCTTATTTTTTTAGAAGCTTTTTATATATTAATGGAGATTAGCACTTAATGTGTGTTGCAAATATTTTTTCCAGTTTCTTGTTTCTCTTTTGACTTCATTTAGAGCATTTTGACACAAAATATTTTATTTTTAAAAAAATTAATATTAATATTTAAATATTTAAAAATATTTTTTATGTAGCTGCATTTATGAATCTTATTTTATGGCTTCTATGTTTGAAGAAAGAAAGATAAAGATGTGTTTACAACGCAGTGAGCAAAGGATAGTTTCATTAACAAATGGAATATGTAATTAACTAGGATAAAGAGTAAACCCTTTTCACTTAAATATCAGGTTAATTAAGAATTAAAAGACTTTGGAAGTATATGAAAAAATATACACAAATATACTGATTTGGTCTCAGAGTTCAGAATTCCTTTCCGAAAATAAATCTGTTAGGGACAAACTGCCTCAAGAAGCTTCTTGGTGCTGCCTGCCCCTCCCCACTCTGCAACTCCTCTCCATGCTGCCCCAAGCCTTTTTACATTTCTAAGCCCTTATCTAGGCGCCACAGTGAAGCCAGCAGACTTTACCTATCAGGCCTCGCTGCTATAAAGCAAACCCCAATTACAAACCATCCGGACCGCACAGAGGGAGGTCGTGGGAAGCATAAACAAACTTTACCTACAATCTCCGGTACCATAAACGTCACAAGGTGATAATGTGGCAGAATAAACCAGCAAACAACCCCGGGATGCGGCCATACCAAAGAACTCCCTCAAACTCCCTCCCCAATATAAACCCCTCATTCTGTAAGCTGGCTGCTGCTGCCTCCTTTGTCTGTGATAAAGCAGCCGGCGGGTTTAATAAAAGCTTGCCTGAACTTGGGTCTTGCTCTCTTGTCCTTTCTCCCGGCTGATCTTACAAAATCAAAAGTCAAATATTTACTTAAATATGTTAAACTCAATTAAATTTCATGTCATGACACTTATCAATCTTTTATCTTAGGAATTCTTCTTTTGGTATTAGGAATAAGAAAAGGATTGACATGCTTAATATCCTTAATATTTTAAGCACTCTTTTCCATTTTTTTTCTTTTTTCTTTTTCTGGTTCAGGTTTGAGCATTGATAAACACTCTTTAAAGAGAAACATTTTAATGTTTTGGAAGTGCTTTCCATAGTAATAAGCCTGTCCTCCCTTGACTCCTCAGCCGAGCTGACTAGCCTAGCTAGGAAAGAGCCAGTCAGGCTGACAGTTAATAAGAACTCAAGCTCATGCCTGAAATTCACAGTGCTTTAGGAGGCTGAGGTGGGAGGATCACTTGAGGCCCTTAGGTCAAGACCAACCTGGGCAACATAGCCAGACCCCATTCTCTAACAACAACAACAATAACAAAAATTAGCAGGGGGTGGTAGGAGGCTGAGGCAGGAGGATCACTTGAACCCAGGAGTTCAAGGTTGCAGTGAGCTATGATCACACCACCGCAATACAGCCTGTGCAACAGCCTGTACAACCCTGTCTCCAAAAAAAGAACCCAAGTTTTCAATATGCATAGCCACATATAAACTAGAACTTAAGCTGTAAGGAGTCCTGTGGAAGCAGAAACTCTAAGTAGAAGCCCTAGGGTAGAGAAGGGCATAGAAAGTCAAACAAGAGAGCAAAACAACCTGAGGCAAGAGGATGACAAAGCAAAAATGCAGCGCAAACATGAACATGTTGGTGGGCACACACACATAGTTTCTCCAGATGCCTTGATTTCCTAATAGCTTTCTAGTTCCCCTTACTGAGAGGCATAGCTACATACCAGTTCCTTTGGTGGATTTCCAGTAAAATCCCTATCTCCCTTACTGCTCACAATCCCTTGCAGCCTTGCTAATTACAGCCCCCTCATTTGATCTGGCATTTGTGTTCTTCACAACAAAAACTTTACTAAAACCAGAGGCAAAATATAAAAATGTATCTGTCATATAATGAAGAATAAATCTAGTCTTTGTCTCCTGTTCCTGGTACAGAGCTTAGAGAGGCTTGGAATTTCCTGATTAATGGAAGTGTCTTTGTTATTCATAAGAAGCCCCTTTGGACTATATCTGAGTTTATACTTGGGGGTGACTCAAGGTAGGCCCTCACATAGTTTGAAAGGACGAGCTGGCCATGCCAGACAGACCAAGCATATGGTTAGAGGGTTGGAACTTTTAGCCACACCCCCAGATGTTCAGAGATTAAAGAGGAGCTGGAGAAGGAAGTTAATCATGTGGCCAATAAAACTCTGCAAACTCAAAGTTCAAGGAGCTTCCTGGTGGATGAACACTTTGTGTGCCTGGTAGTTTGTGTTAACTCTGGGTAGTTAGTGTCAGAATTGAAATGAATTGCAGGATACCCAGTTGGTGTCAGACAATTGGTGTCAGAACAGTCTCTATCACTCATTATTCACCTACCAACTAACGAAATTATTAACTTTTTTCCACCAAAGTAGTACATTTTCATTAAGGAAAAAAAAAAGGATAACCAACATGAATGTTTTGGTGGCTATACTTCAACATTTTTAACTCTACTAGGAAAATGCATCAAAGAGGTTATAAAACTTACCTCAATTTTCGATATGGAGGAAAATACTATTATCTATATCAAATTATGCCCAGATACCACAGCCAATCTGTGTTTTTAAATCTCGTCAAATGAAAAGGCCTATTATTTTAAACAAATTTCCTATATTCTAATTACACTGATGTGAAACCACACAATAAAAATCTAATATTCCCTTGTACTTCTTTCTTAAAGAATGGTGCCAGGCCGGGCACGGTGGCTCACCCCTGTAATCCCAGCACTTTGGGAGGCCGAGGCAGGTGGATCACAAGGTCAGGAGATCGAGACCATCCTGGCTAACACGGTGAAACCCCATCTCTACTAAAAATACAAAAAAATTAGCTGAGCATTGTGGCACGTGCCTGTAATACCAGGTACTCGGGAGGCTGAGGCAGGAGAATGGCATGAACCCAGGAGGCGGAGCCTGCAGTGAGCCTAGATCGCGCCACTGCACTCCAGCCTGGGCGACAGAGTGAGACTCCGTCTCAAAAAAAAAAAAAAAAAGAATGGCTCCTTCCAAATATTTGAACACCAATTTCCAAGTAAACTGTGGGGAAGGAATGACATCCAAATTTTTAAATTAACACAATTCTTTCAGGTAACTCTATGCATAGTATGAGAGCAAAAGGAAGCAAACAAAAACAGCCAATATATCAAAGATTTTGTTTAAAATCCTGTAAGCTTAGGTTATTGTCTTTAACTTAACCTAAAGGACTCCCAGTATTTTTTAGCATGCCCCAAATACAACAGGAATCATGTATTTAAACTCATTCTTATTAAACTGGCCCACTTCTGCCCTTAAGCAGTTTGCATGTGATCAGTTACAGAAGGGTCCAGTATTTAACCATTTTACACATTCAGCTTATGTGCACAGACTGAGACTAGTATCCTTAGGAAGACCTGCTGCCAAGGTTGGCCTTTTACTAGATTGTTTGTGCAAATAAAAGTGGGTCATGTTGAATACCTGCTTTCCTTCTGGGAATGTGGAATTTTGGTACATGCAAAGCAGAAAGTGCCTACAGGACCAACCTACAATAGAAACTTTGGGTGCCAAGTCTCTAATGGGCTCCTCGAGCAGAAACATGGCACACGTGTTGCCAAATTTTTATTGCTACAAGAATGCGCTCTGTATGACCACTCATGAGAGGGAGAGAGCATAAGGAGACCTGCACGCTGGTTCCTCCAGACTCTACCTTCTCTTTTTCCCTTATGCTAACCTTAGAAAGGCTATATATGCTTATTATGTTGCTGTAACAAGTCTTAGCTGTATGACTTTATGTTGAGTCCCATGATCTATGACCCGCAAGACACTGTCTACTTTTCGGTATTAAGCTGCCAAACCATAGAGGCAACCTTTCTTTTTTTCCAACTTTCAAAATGCATTTTCACAATTACAGTTAAACAGTACATGTATGTATAATATAACAGTTAGATGTTTCTGGTTATAATTCTCCTGTTGCACTTTCATTACTAGGTTAGAACTGTCAATAAATGAGATTATACATACAGAACACAAAACCACAGCTCAGTAATTACTTCTGACTTAGAATAAAATGTTACACTGGTTTTTAGGCAAAACGGTGCATTTATCTAGCAAAGCAAGACATTTTTCTTTTTGGACAGGGTACCTTTCTCCACAAAAAAGGAACAATGGTATTTCCCAAATTTGTTTCCTAATCTCATTCCCAGCAAGACACTTTTCTTCTTTAGTGATGCAGAAGATCCTTTTACATATTAAACTAAAATATATAGTTTATGTCCTACTTTCAGTTAATGTCATTACTATCAAGTTCCAGGCTAATAAAAACAGGAACTTGGGGGACCTCCTCTTTCAGCTTTGGTGCCCCCCTCCCTCTGTCTCTGTAAGGGGGAGCTTCTTCCATCTGTCTTCTCTCTTCCTTCTTGCCTATTAAACTCTCCACTCCTTAAAACCACTCCACATGTGTCCATGTTGTTTTATCTAAACCAGCCTGAGGAACAAGAACCCTGGTGTTCCTCCACTCATCAGAGCCATATCATTTTGGTGCATGGGCGGGAAAAGGAAAATTCAATCATCAGACTGGTGAGTATGGAGCGGATCTCAACTTCAAATCTGTCCTTTAATCTCAAGACTTTCTTCCAGCTACCCTGTCACCAAACTTTCTATTGGTGGTCTCTTACCCTCTCTCTGGGTGTTCAATGTGCAGGAATCTTTACAGTTCAGGGAAAACAGGTCTGTCAGAAAAGATCGTGAATCACGGCAGGCAGTAACTCAATAAATGTTTCTCTCTCTGTTTTCCCTGGCAAGCACATGGTATTTCTAAGCCGCCTAGTAGAAATCAGGCTCTAGGCCTCTTTTGGGAACGGGAAGTTTTTGCTTTTAACAGTTAGGAGTAAGATGTCTTCCCTAGCCGAATTTTAGTCTCGATATTGTCCCCACTGGCAGGAAAACGGCCATTAGGCTCCTACGTTCCTTTAAGGCATTGATTTTGTCTCCTATTAAGACAGTACTGAATTAGTAAGGGGATTTTTGAGTCCGGAAGTTAACCAGAACCATTCTTCCATGAGTAAATGCTTTAGCATGGGCTATAATAGCAGAATACACAGTTCAATCTAGCACTCCCCCTCCCTTAAAGGGGCCTTGCCCAATTACATGGTTTTTCTTGAAATCCGTGTTTTGGAAGGCACACAGGCCACGCAAGTCTAGAAGGTCAAAGGGAAATAAAAGGCAGAGTACTGATTGCTTGGGGACAGCGTGACCAAGGAACTCAGTTCCTCTGGTGCCACAGCTTGGAGGGTCACACCTGCAGTCATGGGTGGCACATTTAAGCAGGTGCCGGGAATCCTGGAGCAACAGAGAGAAAATAGTTGGGGGGATGCCCTCTATTGTTTTCATCTCCACCCTGGATCACATACTGAAAGGAAGGAGACTAAAAGGACGCTTTTATTCTCACTTCTTTTTCTAGATGGGTAACAGATCGTCTTCAATGTGCACTCCCATGGAGTATATGTTGAAGCACTGGGACTCCTTCGACCTTGAAACTTTGAAGAAAAAGTGGCTTATTTTCTTTTGCACAAGGGTATGGTCTTTTTACTAGACCTTTGCAACATTGCAAGATCAAGCCAGCTCTTTTAGCAACCATATCGGGCAGGTCCAGGGAAACTAGTTCCCCAAAATTAAAAAAGTAACTTTCAAGGAAATCATCTGATGGTCCCTCTTATTTTGGGCCCCTTTAATGACCTTAGGCAAGTAAAGGCAAACTGAGGCTGATTTTCTGACGACCCTGATAGGTATATAGAAGCTTTCCAAAATTTAACTCACGTATTTGACCTCATATGGAGGGATGTTATGTTGCTGCTAAGTCAAACCCTCACTGCTGCTAAAACAGGCAGCTCTGCAAGCAGAAGAAAATTTTGGAGATAAGCAATATGTCTCCTATAGTGGGCCAGAAGGGAAAAGAGAAAAATAGGGAAGGCAAAGAAATAGGGGAAACACCATTCCCAATAGGAAGAGAGGTATTACTTCTTAACAACCCTAATTGAAACTCCTTTCTAAGGTGTTTTTCCTTCTTTTGTGGTTTAAAATGGCTTCTGTCTCTTTTATAATGTTGTTCCAACCTAGGAAAAGTTAATTTGCCAAATCTTAAAATGCTTGGCATAGAGTTGAGCTAGGGGAAAGTGGACCCAGAAGCCTGATGTGCCGGCAAAAGGGTAAACATTTCTTAGCAGTTGGGCTTTTGGCTTCTCTCTCCTTGTGCAAACCGGTAAAAGGGATAATAAGGATCACTGTTGATGTTCTCTGTAAATGTATAACTAATGAAAAAGGATTTGTAAGGCTGGCCTTAAGCTGTAGACAATCTTGTGTGCTTTGCATGTCTTTCTGTATGGTTCTGTCAAAGAAAGGGAATCTTAGGTTAGGATGCAGGCCCAGGACCCCATAAGCCTGCTGTTCAAGCCAGTCCAGCAAAGCGGTCAGTGGCAAAGTCGGCTACAGGTCTCCATCTTGTTTCATGTCTTTGGGAATGTCATCTGTAACTGCATGGCAATACTTTGTTTTAGTCTCCGCCATTTTACAATGGTGGCTGTCTTTTTGTGCTAAATCAGATAAGCCAGTTTGTCAATCTGGGTGGTGCCAGCTGATCTATCAAGGGCAGGGTTTACAAAATATCTTAAGTACTGATCTTGAGAGCAGTTTAGGGAGGGTCAAAATCTTGTGGCCTCCAGCTCCTGGGCCATGGTTTCTAATCCTGTGGTTAGTTTCTTGGACTGGTCCCCAGGTAAGAGGGAAATATATCTTGGGAAGCCGCTGTTATCGTCTTTGTTTTAGACTATAGACTGTAAACCAGGCTCCTCCCAAAGTTGGTTTAGCCTACACCCAGAGATGGGCAAGGACAGCTTGAGGGCTGGAAACCTGGAAACAAAATGGAGTTGTTTGGGTGGGATCTCTTTGACTGTCTCAGTGACAGTTTTGCAATGACAGTTTCAAAAGCTGTCTATCACTCCTTTAAAAATACCTTGTACACTCGTAATTAAATCATAACCTAATTAAGGCTCGTTGGTTTCACCTATAAGGGTACTTTCTGTAAAGTTCAAAAGCCGAAAATCTTAACTGCTTGGTGTGGCTAAAGTCAAGTAACAAGGGATTTAAAAGGATTTTCTTAAAGAGTGCTCAGCTTAATTAAAAGTAAATATTCAAGTTATAGGTATATTTAAAGGCCTTTATGCTTTTCTCTTCTTGAATCTTGCTTTTCTGGAAAAGGGCTCTTTTCTTCTCAGTTGACTGAATTATTTTCTCCGTTTTTTGTCTTACCCCTCTTAATGCATGCATAAAAAGCCCTAAAATAACTTCTGGTAGTATGGGACTCCTGGGGAAAAACAGAGGAGGCACCGCAAACCCTGTTTTCAGAAAAAGCCTGTTTTCCTCATGAAACCCCAGGAATTAAAAGGAGATAGATCCCTCTCAAAATCAAAGGCTTTATTCTGTTTTGCACTGTGTTATCTGACGGTTTTGAGTTTTGGGGGTTATCAGAAATTACTTTGCATTATGAGAGAGCTTTGGTGTGTAATAACTAGGTAGAAAATACACAGTAAGGGATGGCTAATAGCAGTTACAAAACAGAGAAGCATGCTCTTGGCCACCTGGAAGATAAGGAAACATCCCCATCCCCCACTGGGAGATGAGACGCCCATCAGGGATGGGCTGATTACAAAATAAGCCAATTGGCTTTGGGTTGCCTTGCAATGAAATGCATGGTAGAAGCACTACACCATCTTCTCCCATAGCATCTATACGGTCTTTTCATGAATTAAGCATTAAAATAGAAGCACAGCAAGGAGGTCTTAAGACACTAATCTGCCCTTTAGTAAAAGGGTTACAAAAGGTTTGTAAAGATTTCACCTCATGGTCAAATTGGTTAGGATTAGACGGGATAATCTATAAGGGTTCATGGAAACGAACTGGAATTAACATTAATAAACTAATGCAAGGGAAAAATTTTGCTTTGAACAAAATTTTCATATCATAGTAAAGGCTGATGAAAGGCTTTTGCCTTTTGAGTTATTTTTACAAAATAATTTATGGCAATCTGGAAATTGTCATTACTGCTGCCTGGCTTTCTGGATGGTTCAGAGGGCCCCTGAAATATTCAGAAAAGAGGTAAACAAGATCACTTGACATGTTTAGTCACATGAGATTGCCAAAATGATGTCCAATCTTCTTTATTGCTATAAAGTTATATTGTTGTAAGTTATATTTTGGTGAATAAATACTAATATGTTCCAAAATTGTATGAGATTTCTAAAATTCTAATGTCTAAGTATATGCTATCAATCATAATTAAGGGTAAAGTTATTGTAAACCACGAAGATAAGTAAACTTCTTTCTTAGTCATATATTTAACTGTAACTATCCTGGAAATTTGTCATTCGCAGACAATTGTTGTCTTCCTTTGTTCCTTCTCAAAAGACAGTTTATAATAAAGCTATATTAGGGACTTTAACAGGTGTTGTTAAATGCAGGTTTTTAATAGCCTTAAAGATTGTAACATTGAAATAAAGAATGTACAGGACTCAAAGAATTGACATGTTGACAAATACCAAGCAAAACAAAAGTTAACTAAGTGGACTACACTCAGAAAGTTAAAGCAACCTTTTTGACTGTTGCTTGGAATATTGCTAATCCTTGTTTTGATTTTCAGAGTCAAGGGAAGTTATTTTAAACTATTTATGGCCTTTAATGATTGAGTAAGGTATACCCCTGTGAACAAAATTTGGAGCATGTTTACTTTTCTCTGCCTGGTTCCCCTAGAATTTGGAAACTATCTGTGAGTACTCTTAATTTATGGCAATATAGTTGTTTGCATCAGTGCAATACGAATCCATTTTTCTTTGTCAACAGGACACAATTGGAAAAACTGGTTATTTTACCAAGGCTTTGACTGAAAGGGTGTGTTTCCCTTTAAGGAATCAAGCTTGACATGCAAAGCCAATAAAAGCCCCTTGTGGAGAACTGGCCTCATACCTTGTCTGCACAGTCCCCACACAGGGTTCCTAACCTGTGGTCAGTAAAGAATGTCACTTTCTAACAGGTATAGAAGCTCAGAGTTTATCTTGGGAACTCAAGAGGAGAGGATCACCCAACTCACAGGTATTAAAGGATACAACCCATGGCTGGGCTCGGCTTTAAGTCTTATCTGAAATTCCTTGTGGAACAGAGTTTCATCAAAGCCAATCCAAAAGGCCTATGTAAAAATAACCATTCTTGCTGCACTTTATGCAAATAATCAGGCCAAGTATAAGACTAAAGTTTATTCATAGTTTTTACCAAAAATGAGGACTGGAGAGAAAAATTTTGCCCCAAAGCTTATCATAAATTTGTCATTAAAGCCTACTCTCATTAATTGTTTTTAAGCTTTTTGCCTATGTTTTAGACTAACCTTGCTTATTCCTGTGAATCACGTGGTGATCTTCTGCAGCTTGGAATAAAAGAATAGGGATGGGTAAGGTAAAAATGTGAATCAATATGCTAGTTCTGGGCAATTATCTTGCAAATTCTGCCAGATAATTAAAGTAAGTGCCCATAACCTGGAGGTTTCTGTTTGGGAAAATAAAACCAGGGAACTTCATAGACCCCCAAAGGGGAATTCTAATATCTTGGCAAGTAAAATTTTAGATGGAAATTACCTGCCACACCACATTTGTGGGAACTGCTGTCCTCACCCTACTATTTGCAATAGCGTTACACATGGTACCACCTTCTAACTGAAATATTGGACAGAGAGTTTCCATTGCTGTAGTATTTTGCTTAATTATTATCCTTATAGCAAGGATAATAGTTGACAAAAAGGAAGCATGAAAGTTTTACTATCACTGAGTCTGCTAGGACTTTTTATTAGGTTTAGTAATGTAGTTTTAAATGAAACATGCTGCTTTTGGATTAACAACTCTAGTAAAGTAGAGGAAAATCTACGCGTACTTAGAAATCAAATCAAAATTATTGACAGGCTCAGGGAAAATGCCAGCTTCAGCCCGAGTGGCTACAATCCCTCTTTAATAAATTCCAGTCTTCTTTATGGAATTGGTTAACCCCTTTATTAAGCACTCTCTTGCTTATCTGTCTTGTATTGATATTTGGACCCTGTATACTCAATATTATAACTCAAATTGTTTCTTCTCGCCTAGAAGCAATCAAACTTCAAATGGTGCTGTAAACTGAACCACACGCCATTCTTCCGAGGATCCTTAGATCGACCCCAGAAGGAGCCTTAGCTGCTGTTCCCCATTCGATGCCCCTTTTCAGCAGGAAGTAGCCAGAAAGAGTCATCGCCCCAAACCCCCTAACAGCAGTTAGTGTGGCATCTCCACAGGGGGGAATGTTGTAGGAAAAGGGGTCCTTGGGAAGTTTTTGTTTGTTAAAGCACCTCTGGAAAAGTTTCTTGCAAAGCCCTGGCTCTCAGAGCCAGGCCAGCAACCATTGATATGCAAATGCAGGCCATTAGAAACTGGGCCCACCCAAACATGGAGATGCCCCGGGCCTTCTTGCCCTTTCCCCACAGGTTCCTGGCAACATGGCCACCCCCACATATCCCCACGTGTGTAGACCATCATGGCACCCTACATTTGCATATTAAAAGGCTAGAGTGGGAGGGCCAGCTTTTTCCATGGGCCATGTGAATGAAATGCCTAATCAAACCAATCCCCTGAGCCCTATGCAAATCAAACACCGCCTCCTCCAGCCTCTGCATATATACCTGGCTGGTATGGTTAGCAGGTAGGGACCTCCTCTTTCGGCTTTGTATCCCCCCTCCCTCTGCCTCTGTATAGGGGGAGCTTCTTCCTTCTGTCTTCTCCCTTCCTTCTTGCCTATTAAACTCTCAGCTCCTTAAAACCAAAAACAACAACAACAAAAAAACAGGAACTCATACTTTTCAATTACAAATAGTGCATGCAATCCACCTACTTGGATGACTACAAGAAGTTTAGAATCTTTCCGTGGCCCATCGTAGCTAACTGCATAGACTTGACCTCCAGCAACCATGCCTCAGGACCAAGATAAAGCATATGCTGCTATCTCTAAAATGACAAAGTTGGCTGGGTGCGGTGGCTCAGACCTCTAACCCCAGCACTTTGGGAGGCTCAGGCGGGTGATCTGTTTTAGCCCAGGAGTTTGAGACCAGCCTAGTTTGAGATCGGCCTGTGATACATGGCAGAAACCCCGTCTCTACAAAAAAAAATCCAAAAAATTAGCCAGGCATGGTGGTACATGTCTGTAGTCCTGGCTACTCAGAAGACTGAGGTGGGAGAATTACTTGAGACTGAAAAGTTGAGGATAGTGAGCCATGATCATGCCACTGCACTCCAGCCTGAGTGATAGAGAGAGACCCTATCTCAAAAAATTAAGAAATTAAAAAAAATAAATAAACTGACAAAGTTCGTTATCTAGGTACAGTTAAAAAATGAGGGAGGTTCTCCTAACAAAACTATAGTAACTGATTATTATCATATTATCTTCTCTAACACCTCCAAATGCATATTCCTCCTCATGCCCGCTTTGGAACCATGCTATCAGTATTTTTGTTAGGCTTTTTTCCATGGGTATGAACCATATTTCAGAGTCCTGAGAGTATTCACTGCACCTTCTATGACTAAAATTACATTTGGTAAGGAAACAATTAGTCAACTGTGCAAAGATAAATTATAAGGACAATCAGCACAGCTGACATAAGAAGATGAATAATCTTCAATGTGCCAGTTTATTAATTTACTACAATATACCCATCAATGTAACCAGAATACTTGTTTCCATATAAAGCATACATTCTTTTCCTATAGCCAAATTATAATCATAAAATTGCTTAATTAAGCACAGAATCAAAACAGGTGTCATAATTAGATAAAATATATGCTCAATAATATCAAAGAAGTCTAGCATTTAAAAATCTATACAAAGGCCAGGTGCGGTGGCTCACGCCTGTAATCCTAGCACTTTGGGAGGCCGGGGCAGGCAGATCATTTGAGGCCAGGCATTTGAGACCAGCCTGGCCAACATGAAGAAACCCCATCTCTACTAAAAAATACAAAAATTAGCTGGGTGTGGTGGCACAAACCTGTAATCCCAGCTACTCAGGAGGCTGAGGCATGAGAATAGCTTGAACCTGAGAGGCAGGGTTTGTAATGAGCCGAGATCTTGCCACTGCACTCCAGCCTGGGTGACAGACTGAGACTCTGTCTCAAAAAAATAAAAGTAATAAAAGTCTATACACCAAAAGTTTCATAGTTTTAGTTGAGTGACAAGATTATAGCTTATCTTGACTATATTTATTTCTTTATGTGTTATCTGAATTATTTATTAGTATCTCTTTACCTTTTTTTTTTTTTTGAGACAGGGTCTTGCTCTATCACCCAAGTTGGGGTGCAGTGACGCGATCATAGCTCATTGCAGTCTTCAACTCCTGGGCTCAGCAATACTCCTGCCTCCGCCTCCTGGGCTTGTGAAAGTGGCAGGTAAATTTCTAAAACGGTCTCATGACATTACTTCAGACTATAGCATCTGGCTGACATTCTAACACTGCTGCTTCAGTAAGAGTTGGAATAGTATAAACAGAAGCATCTTCAGAAACGTATATATAAGATGAAGGGCACATGTGCTTAGCGGCCAAGATGTAGAAATGCAATATGAACACATCTGAATCAAGTGGTGGCCACACTCACATTCCCATCTAAGGTAAACTGTTCCACCTATAGTTCTGGAGAACATAGTTCTGGGAAGCAGTCCTAGACAGCAATGATTTTTAGAATACGATCTGCCTTGTAGTCCAAAGCAGAAAGTATCAGGTGTGGGGGACACTTTCCAAGTGCCATTATATATCATTAAAAGATTCAAAAAGTGACTCCCAAGCAGGGCAGAGTTATGCCACTGAAATTCTTACACTAAGGAATAAAGTCTATGAAATGCAAAATAAATAGAATCTGTGAAATGCAAGAAAGCTGGAAAACATGAAATAAATACCTTTGGGCACTATCTCATACACTGGGGCAACAAGCAACATTTAATTATGAATAGCTGAAAATTGAAGGGGAAGCAGAATGCAGACTAAGCTAGGAGGTAAAGTAAAGGTTGAGTCAACAATGAGGAAGGCACTGAACAAACACACAGAGGAATTAAAAAATGTTAAAGGTGGTATACTAGGATGGATGACACAAACTCTTGCGCTGACATTCCCAGATCTGTCTTGGAACTAATTTCCAAACTCAGGAAACTGAATTAAAATTTTTCTTTAAATTTTAATTGTCTTTACTCAAATTCCTTACTTGAATTCTTATGAGATCCCTGTCCATCTTAGAGGCTGACCAAGCCCAGCCATGGGTGGTCCAAATTGCTTAGGTGGTCCCAATTGCTTGGCTGGCCCAAGAGATGTCTGGTTCTTAACAATACAAGAGCCTATAGAAATTGCTAAAGGGATTTCAGCCACAACTGAAGCTCACCAAGAATGAGTTTTCTGGAACTGGTTAAAGTGTCACAGTAGGGAGTAAGGAAATAAGAATCCCCACCAAACATAAGAGAACAGAATGATAATAGTCCCTACTAGTCCATGACAAGGCTGCCAATTAGGCATTTAAAGCTATCAAAGATGATGCTGTGAGGGACCTGGCAACTTTTGTAATAGTCTGACTTTAAATGTTTTATTAATGGCCAAGCAGCAAATATTTTAGGATTTGTAGGCTATATGGTCTCTGTCCCAATTACTCCATTCTGCTACTGTAGCATAAAAGCAGCGATACATGACACACATAAGAATGAGTATGAGGCCGGGTGCGGTGGCTCATGCCTGTAATCCCAGCACTTTGGAAGGCCAAGGCAGGTGGATCACCTGAGGTCAGGAGTTCGAGACCAGCCTGACCGACATGGAGAAACCCTGTCTCTACTAAAAATACAAAATTAGCCGGGCGTGGTGGCGCATGCCTCTAATCCCAGCTACTTGGGAGGCTGAGGCAGGAGAATCACTTGAACCCGGGAGGCGGAGGTTGCGGTGAGCCAAGATCACACCATTGCACTCCAGCATGGCCAACAAGAGCAAAACTCCGTCTCAAAATAAAAAAAAAAATGAATGAATGTGACTGTGTTCCAATAAAACTTTATTTATGGACACTGACACTTGAATTTCTTGTAATTTTGATGTAATTAAGTTTTATAATTCTGATTTTTTTTCAACAATTAAAAAATGTAAACAACAGTCTTTGCTCACAGACTGTATAAAAACAAGCGGTTGGCCAGATTTGGCTCTTGGGCCAGTTTGCTGGACCCTGATATAGAGAACTGGGAGGCTGCATCAAAGATAGTCCTTTAACTTACTTTTGTTTGAAGATGCTGTATTTTAATATTCTCAAGGATATTCTGATGTCCCCAAGGATATTCAGTGTAAACTGCCTACTTAGTGAAATATTGTTGCTCTATTTTTCTTACCATTTTATCCACTTTAAGTATATACAGTTCAGTAGTATTAAGTATATTCACATTTTTGTGCAACCAATCTCCAGAACTTTTTCATCTTGCAAAACTGAAACTCTATTCCCATTAAACAATGACCCTTTTCCCCCTCCCCCGGCCCCTGGCAACAACCCTGACACACCCTGGCAACTACTTTCTGTTTCTATTAATTTGGCTCATGCTTCAGGCTACCCCATACCATCATTCTGGGACACAAGAACTAGACAGCAATTTGTGTTACTATCTAGACTGGCAGGGGTGAATACATTAGAGATTCCATACATGAAAATTGTAATATGTTAAGGGGCTCTAGTTTAAAAATATGTAAATAGCCAGGCGTGGTGGCTCACCCCTATAATCCCAGCACTTTGGGAGGCCAAGGCAGGCGGATCACTTGACCAGCCTGGCCAACATGGTGAAACCTCCCATCTATACAAAAATACAAAAATTAGCCAGGCATGATGTCGGGTGCCTGTAATCCCAGCTACTCAGGAGGCTGAGGCAGGAGAATCGCTTGAACCCAGGAGGCGGAGGTTGTAGTGAGCCGAGATCGTGCCACTGCACTCCAGCTTGGGCGACAGAGCAAGACTCTGTCTCAAAAAAAAAAAAATTATGTAAATAATATTAAATTTAAGTAATATATAAATATGAAGAAATGCCTGTCTGCCTGGCGGCCGCATAATAAAATACACCTGTCACATCAGTCATGGTGTCTGACAACACACCCTCAGCCTTCTAAGAAAAACAGAATTGCACAAAATTCTTAATACATAGCCATAGAAAATAATGTTTTATTTCATATGGCACCAAATCAAAGGACAACCATAGGTTAAGCCATAATCTTATGACAGAATCTGAAGTGAGAAGCTCTAGTCAAAAAACAGTAATCTGAACCAAGGAGACTGTTTGGCTCCCAGAAATTTGAATTGCAGAACAAAGAATCACATAAATATCAGCAAAAACTGAAGCTGAAAGATTTCCCAAAATAAAAAATAAAGGCATGAGGGATGCATAAGCATGTTCAGTTGTCATAATAATTGGATTGGGGTCACCACTGACACTTAGTGGAAAGCAGTCAGGGATATAAGATATTCTGCAATGTAGCAGCCAGTCCCTCAAAGCAAAAAATTGAAATATACCATCAGACTCATTACAAATTCAAATTAGTACTTTGGTACATAAGAATGAAAACTTTAACATGAAGTGATACAAAAGCTCAGTAATTCAGGATGTTGTTAGGAAAATGAAGTTCAAAACAGAATAGGTGGCAAGGCACAGTGGCTCACGCCTGTAATCCCAGCACTTTGGGAGGCTGAGGCAGGCGGATCACTTGAGGTCAGGAGTTGGAGACCAGCCTGGCCAACATGGTGAAACCCCATCTCTACTAAAAATACAAAAATTAGCTGGGCATGGTGGTGTGTGCCTGTAATCCTAGCTATTCGGGAGGCTGAGGCAAGAGAATCGCTTGAACCCGGGAGGCAGAGGTTGCAGTGAGCCAAGATTGTGCCACTCCATTCCAGCTGCATGCAGCTAGACTCCGTCTCAAAACAAACAAACAAGAAGCCCAGAATAGGTGCATGGGCTTAAGATTTCATTACTGTGCCAAATTACAAATCTAGTTGAAAAATTGAGTCTAATACCAGTTACTGCTTACTGTTAAGCTGACAAATTTAGTTACAAATAAGAGACACTTGTTCAGGGAAGGTAGAAAACTGATGAGGTTCTTAAAAGCTTCCTTGACTCCCTTACTATGCTGAGGGGATTGGCCACCCAAATTCTCTAATTAGATTCTTGTGAAATACAAGATTGCCAATTGTCTTATGTATAGCTTCACAACCTCTTCCTCGTACGTGATTCTTTTTTTTTTTTTTTTTTTTTTTTTGGAGACAGGGTCTCGCTCTGTTGCTCAGGCTTCAGTGCAGTGGCACTATCATGGTTCACTGCAACCTCCACCTCCCAGGCTCGAGCTATCCTCCTACGTCAGCCTGGGACTACAGGTACCAGCCACCATGCCCAGCTAATGCTTTTTAAAATTTTTAGTACAGGCAGGGTCTTACTATGTTGCCCAGGCTGGTCTCAAACTCTTGGGCTCAAGTGATCCACCCACCTTGACCTCCTGAAGTGCTGGGATTATAGGTAGGAACCACCGCACCTGGCCTGATTGTTTTCTTTTTTTTTTTTTTTTTTTTTTTTTTTCATTTTTTTTTTATAAATAGAGACAGGGTCTCACTATGATGCCCAGGCTGGTCTTGAACTGCTGAGCTCAAACGATCCTCCCGCCTTGGCACCCAAAGTGCTAGGACTACAGGCATGAACCACCGCCATGCCCAGCTAATTTTTTTTTTTTTTAATTTTTAGTAGAGACGAGGTCTTGCTATGTGGCCCTGGCTGGTCTCGAACTCCAGAGCTCAAATGATCCACCCACCTTGGCCTCCCAAAGTGCTGGGATTACAGAAATGAGCCACCACACCTGGCCTGATTATTTTTAAATGGCAGCAAGAACAGGGTTGGACAGCAAGGGCAAATCACACAGTATGTGGCATATTCAGAATTGGTTGTGAGTTTCCAGTAGAAAGCACTGAGAATATCCATAGGGCAAAATGGAATACTAATAATCCTCATTTGCCTTTGCCTTTGTACTGGAAACCAGACCTTACTTAAGCCCACCAAAGGCAAGGTTTGGGCCTGCCACAGCGGATTTCAAAAAGACAAAGCAATGCAAGCCACGTGTTCAAAATGCCCTAAGTGGCTATTCAGGTAATATATAAAAGTAAGACCAGGCTAATTAGTATACAATGGGGTAAACCAGAGAGCAGAAAGCCCTTCTTTAAAATGAGCCTACCACTGCTTGGCCTCAGTGTGAATTTAGACCCCATCTTCTGATATTTCAGGAGAAAGTAAAAATCTAGATTTTTATCTAAAATCTTTTTAATTTTTAAACAGTCACCTGATTTTAACGAAATACTATGTGTGCACAATGGAACTGTCTACGGGAATGATCTAGTCCAGAGGATACCAGGTTCCTCACAATGTCTTATAAAGTTGTTTAACCCATAGTAAGAAATATTATACAATTATACCGGACCAAAAACATACATACATACAAATATGTAGCTGGGACAAAAATTTCACAGAACAATACAGTCATCCCTCGGTATCCATGGAAGACTGGTTCCAGGAATCCCTACAGATTCTAAAATCCATGGATATACACGTTCCTTATATAAAATGGTATATTTACATATAACCTACATATATCTTCCCGTCCCTTTAAATCATCTCTAGATTACTTATAATAACGAATACAATGTAAACACCACATAAATATATTGTATTTTTTAAAATTTGTATTATTTTGCATTGTTGTATTTTTTTCCAAATATTTTTTATCAGTGGTGGTGGAACCCACAGATAGGGAACCTATGGATACAGAGCACCTCCTGGTGATGCCTGATGATGCCCTTTGCCAGATGAAGGCTGGTATTTTCTTTGCCAGATGAAGGCTGATATTTTCTTATTTTCTTATCTGTATTCTATCTTAATCTATTCTTTCCTAATCTATTTCATTTTAATATCCACAACTGCATTCAAAACTGTGGCCCAGTTTTAAACACTGCACAAGGGAAACTGCCAAGCCACTGGCTGAGTTGAAGAGGTAATGGTACATAACCATGTTTTGTACCACATGAGAAAAAGGAAACATTACAAATAAGCCAAAACTATAAAGAAACAGAAGCTATGAGGTTATAAAAGCATTTATAAGCATATTCTGTTGGCCTGAAACATTTTAAAACAATTGAAGCTGCCCTCCCAACCCCATTGGTTCCAGGATCCACCACAGATATTCATGACCTTTATAGAAAATGTTCTAGTAATTGCATACAACCTATACACATCCTATCATATACGTTAAATCATATCTAAATTAAAAAAAAAAAAACCTGAAGCCAATCAGGCTTTTTGTAGACAACTGGTAATCTTAGGCAGACATTTCCACTAGGCAACAATCAGCAGAAGTACTAAAGTCTTCCCTTTTGGAGGAAATATGTATGTCCCAATTACACACAATGTCAAACACTCCCTACTATCCTCCTAGTAGCGTCAGTTGCCCTTTACCATCCCATTTGCACCCTTGTTTATATTTTAAAGAAATCGCTCTTCTAATGTCTCTATCAAAAATGACTGAACAAAAGATCACCCCCCTCACACACACAAGACAGTGTTTCAAGAAAAGAAGAAAACACCAGAACCATCTTATACATTTATGGCATCTGGATCCTACAGGCATTTGCAATTGCAGTCCTTGAAACAAAGAGAGAGAAGTCCAACAGTCAGTTGTTAATGGATACTTTATAAGCTAAGCTATAAGAAACAAGCAAAGTAAAAGCAGCAAAACAGGGTAATCATCATATTAATGGCAGAAAACAAAAGTGAAGATCCACAAACTGTTGCTGTGGGTATATAAATATCTTAACTAAACTGGGATACAACAGGCCTAGTAAATTTGTCTTTTCAGGAATTGGAATCGAGCTATTAAAAGTAATCACAGTTCGCAAAGGAAACTGAAGCTGAAAGGATACACAGCAAGCCAACACAATGCAGAGGTGAGGTCAAGAGGGTCATAAGCAAGCAAAACTTATGAGGAAGATGAAGCCATAAGTAAGCAGAACCTATAAATAGGCTAAAAATATGAGATGGAGGGCTGGGCGCAATGGCTCATGCTTGTAATCTCAGCACTTTGGGAGGCCGAGGCGGGAGGATGACCTGATGTCAGGAGTTCGAGACCAGGCTGGCCAATTTGGTGAAACCCCATCTCTACTAAAAATACAAAAATTAGCCAGGCATGGTGGCTGGTGCCTGTAATCCCAGGTATTCGAGGTTGAGGCAGGAGAATCACTTGAACCCAGGAGGCAGAGGTTGCAGTGAGCTGAGATCTTACCACTGCACTCTAGCCTGGGTAACAGAGCGAGACTCCGTCTCAAAAAAAAAAAAAAAGAGAGATGGAGAAAAAACAAAGTGGATGGGCGAGCCAATATTTAAAAAGCAGAAATTATAAGACACCAAAGATAAGCAGAGAGGCCGGGTACAGTGGCTCACACCTATAATCCCAGTACTTTGGGAGGCTGAGGCAGGCGGATCACCTGAGGTCAGGAGTTCAAGACAGGGAGAAACCCCGTCTCTACTAAAAATACAAAATTAGCCAGGCGTGGTGGCGGGTGCCCGTAATCCCAGCTGCTTGAGAGGCTGAAGCAGGAGAATCGCTTGAACCCAGGAGGCAGAGGTTGTGGTGAGGCGAGATTGTGCCATTGCACTCCAGCCTGGGCAACAAGAGCAAAACTCCATCTCAAAGAAAAAAAAAAAGATACGCAGAGAGACAAAGTAGCTCAGTTAAATAAATGGCGCAATGCTAATGGAAAGATGTACAAGCTCTGGCTGCTGAGTTTTCTAGAGCTTCTCTGAATCCAGTTCCCATCCCTAACAGGCATAATCACATTAAGGTCCCCCTAAACAGGTGTCCCTTGGTATCCACAGAGGAACTGGTTCCAGAATCCCCCGCAGATATTCAAATCTTTTATATAAAATATTCTAGTAAATGCATACAGCCTATACACATCCTCTCATATACTTTAAATCATCTCTAGATTACTTATAATACCTAATACGATATAAATGCTATGTAAATAGTGGTTATACTCTATTGTTTGGGGAATAACAACTAAAAAAAGTCTGTATATGTTCAGTACAGACACAACCATCCATATTTTTTAGCCAAATATTTTTGATCCACAGATGGCTGAATCCACAGATGTGAAACACACAGACACAAAAGATCACCTGTATGTGAAACTGCATGTGATCCAAGTCACCATTATTTCCCCACAGGTGGCCTGCAAATAACCTGTCATTATGTGAGCTCAACAGAGAATCTGTTTCTAGCAATCACAAGTGCCTAACCAATAGTAAGAAGCAGAACAGCCCCCTAAGAGGAATGCAGTTTAGGAAGCTGGCTACGAACCTGAAGAGAATCCTCTTTGTTTTGATGATGTTGTGCAAACCAGCTTGTGATATCATGGAACTTTTAGAACTTTTACCCAGGGGAAGGTGAGTCTTTAAGAGACTTGGTAGATGCTGCAATCAAGCAGCTTTAAAGAGCTAAACCAGATAGAGTGAATGTGTCATAGTGTTACCCACACCCAAAATCTTTCTAAAGAAAAACTTCCTTAGCCAGGCAAACAAGCCTGCTAAGAAAGCATTCTTATGACCAACTACCCCTCCTCCAAATCCAAAGTTGATCAGACCAAGGGAAAGTAAAGCTCAGACTCAAAGGCATATGTCTACACGCTGATCAACAGCCTATGACTTGTAACATGAAAGCCCTCCCCAAACAAGGATGACGTGAGAAAATTAGATTAAATTTGCAATTGGGAAAAACAGAAGAACAGAAACTCAGCTGAAGTGAATGGATACATGGTAAAAGAACATACCACAGCTACGTAAGAAGCATGAAAGATTTAAATAAGATCAACTTGTGAGGAATAGGCACAGGAGTCAGAAGCTATAAATAAGCAAAAACTGGCCAGGCATGGTGGCTCATGCCTGTAATCTTAGCACTTTGGGAGGTTAAGGCAGGAAGATCACTTGAGGCCAGGAGTTCAATAATAACCTGGGCAACACAGCGTGACCCTGTCTCTATTAGTTAAAAAATAAATAAATAAATAAATAAATAAGCAGAAACTATCCATTAGCAATGGGATAAAGAATAGAAATGAGGAAGTGAGTATGTAGCAAGAAGGGAGTTCATAGCAGTAATGTAAACTACTACATTCCTAGTAATTTACCAAATTAATTAAATAAAGACATTCCTAATAAACTTAGCTAAGTTGTCAAGTCAGAATACTATATTATGGGCCAGGCATGGTGGCTCATGCTTATAGTCCCAGCACTTTGGGAGGCTGAGGCAGGCAGATCGCTTTGAGCTCAGGAGTTTGAGAACAGCCTGGGTAACATAGTGAAACCCTATCTCTACAAAAAATACAAAAATGAGCTGGGCATGGTAGCACACGCCTGTATTCCCAGCTACTTGGGAGGCTGAGGTGAGAGAATCACTTGAGCCGGGAGGCGGAGGTTGCAGTGAGCCAAGATTGCACCACGGCACTCCAGCCTGGGCAACAGAGCAAGACCCTGTTTCCAAAAAAAAAAAAAAAGAGAGAGAGAATACTATATTATGATCTGGTGTAAGGGAAAAGGGAAAGAATACTGAGTGATGAGAACCAATAATGCCTATAACCAGTAACAAACAAAAAGTATCTGTGACCTCACAAAGGGTTGCTTAGAAAATTATAATCTCCAAACTATAGATCAGAATGTAGATCTGATACAACCTAACAGGCATATAAAATAGCATCAGGATATAAGGAGAGTAAGGTTGCAGAGTTAACTGTGAAACTGTCAAGTTCCAAAGATGGTTCAGGTACTTCTGGATGCTACATGACTGGGTTGCATTCTAGTTTTAGAGCTTGATTCTGGATACACTTATAGTAGCTGGATTGTGTTAGGCTAAAGCAATTTTGCATCATAAATAGGGAAAGAGATACATTTGCACATAGTAATCAGTAGGGGGAAATGTCCTAGACCTGCCAAATAGCAACTACTATCCCTGCGGTCTCAGGAAACTTAACCCACAGGGAATCAGATTCTCAGTTTAATGACAACTTGGCAACATGGAGAGTAGCAAGAGCTAAAGTCGATAGTCTGTAGAGAGAAAGATAATGTAGAAGGAAGGTCACACCTATAGTAGTTGCAAAAGCTCAAGTTATGAATGAGAAAAAAAATCTAAGTATTCAGTAACCAGGAGGTTAGAGGAAGACAGAGTATGAGGAAACCAAACTGTAGTAGGACCAACATGATACACATAAGGAGAGAAGAGCTTAATTACATTAATGATACCACACTAGAGTTGAATTCCATAAACTTCCTTAAAATGATCCAAATCACCCCATTTCTTGCAATGAACTCTGGATTGCAAGGAAGAGACCCTCAAAAGGAATGCAGCTATTTGGAATTGGTTATATTGAAGCAACAGGGTAGACAGCCAAGCAAAGTACATAATAGTGGTAACATGCAAAGCATCTTAATTTAGCTATCGCCTGTGCTCTCGGAAACTTAAAATTGTGAAATATGGAAACAGGTAATCAGTAGCAAAGATGAGAGGTGAAGAAGGTATTCTAAGAAGTTACAAGGGAAAATCAGAGGCATAACTATGAGAAAGCCCACTATGACGAAGCAGAAACTAGGTGAGCAGAAGTTGTAAGAGTACAGTGTCATAAAGCAGGTATTGGCAAACTACCGCCAATAAACCAAATCCAGCCCACTACCTTTTTCTGTAACTAGTTTTGTTGGAACACAGCCATACTCACTCATTTATGTATTGTCTATGACTGCTTTCATGCTACAAGAGCAGAAACCATATGGCCCACAAAACCTAAAATATTTACCACTGGGCTTTTTATAGAAAAAGTTTGCTAACTCCCCTCATAGAAGATAGCATAAGCCAATGGCAGGAAAACTGAAACAGGCTGAGAGAATATTTAAGTCATGTTAAAAGCAGAGCACTGGAGAAAAGATTTTTAAAGTCCTGCTGTTGAGAGCTCCACAAGTACCCTTACTACAACCCCCCAAACCCTGAATGTGCTGAACATTTAGAAAAATCAGTTACATACCACACACCAAAAAGGTTCCCAATGGGAAAGATTTGTATTTAAAAAAATAATAAAAAGTATAAAGGAATTATGAACTATAAAAAATATATTTATCTTCCTATTATAAAATGCAAGTGGAGAATAAACCATAAAGAAAAAGATATTTGAGCTACATACAAATTAATAATTTATAGGCCAAACTGGGGGAAATATCTGCAACATATGATAGACTAAAACTAAGTGTGAAAAATAAACTCAAAAATAAGACCCAAGATTTTTATCTGTTCTATCTTGTTAGGAATCAAAGAAATACAAATTAAAATATCAAAGGCCATTTTTTACCTTTACAATTGGCAAATTCTTCTGAAACCTTAACATAGTGTACTGGTGAAAAAGTTAAAAAAAAAAAACGGGCATTCTTATACACTAATAGAAGGACCATATATTTTATCCAACCTCAGGAAATAAAACACACATATGTACAAAAATTTATCTATAGAGTTATTCACTGTAGCACTATTTACACACAATTAAAAGAGCAGTAATTAAAACAAGGTTCCAAATATCAGATACAAGTTAAATTTTTACATTCATGCAGTGGTGTATTATGTGCCAATTTTTAAAAGATGTTATTAAAGTATATTTAATGGCATGGGATATATTTGAGATTGGTTCAGTTTAAAACAATAGGCAACAAAAGATTTCATTAATGACCCTAACATCAACAATTGAAAAAGACTGCCATCCCCCGCAAAACAACTCACTTTTGAACACAGAAAAAGGCCGGGCATGGTAGCCCACCCTGTAATCCCAACACTTTGGAAGGCTAAGGTGGGCAAATAGCTTGAGCCCAGGAGTTTGAGAACAGCCTAGGCAACATGGAGAAACCCCGTCTCTACGAAAAATACAAAAATTATCTGGGTGTGGTGGTGCACACCTATGGTCCCAGCTACTCAGGAGGCTGAGAGGTAGGAGGATCCCTTGAGCCTGGGAGGTCAAGGCTGCAGTGAGCCATGATAGCACCACCACACTCCAGCCTGGACAACAGAGTGAGACCCTGTCTCAAAAAAAATAAATAAATAAAGGAAAAAAATAATAAATAAAATAGAAAATAAAATTTGAAATATCAAATTTAGCAAATATAATTCAAAATTCTTGAAAACTATGAATCTGGCCGGGCGTGGTGGCTCATGCCTGTAATCCCAACACTTTGGGAGGCTGAGGTGGGCAGATCACGAGGTCAGGAGTTCGAGACTAGCCTGGCCAGCATGGTGAAACCCCGTCTCTACTAAAAAAAATACAAAAAATTAGCTGGGCATGGCGATGCACACCTGTAATCCCAGCCACTCGGGAGGCTGAGGCTGGAGAATTGCTTGAACCCAGGAGGCAGAGGCTGCAGTGACCTGAGATTGCACCACTACACTCCAGCCTGGGCGACAGAGCGAGACTACATCTCAAAAAAAAAAAAAGAAGACTCCGTCTCAAAAAAGTACGAATCTTCTTCCAGAAATGCAAAGTTGGTTCATTATTAGGAAAGCTATTAAACATAACAAATACAACAAACGATCAAAGAAGAATATTTACTTTCATATTCAACAATTGCTTACCTGAGATACCTGTTCCTTTGTCCAGATCACCTTTTGAGATATCAGTGGAAGAATTAATACTTCATAATCCTGAAAGCCAAATTTAGGGTTTGAAATAGCACAGCCCACTATCTTGCCTGTTAAGATAATGATTATATCCAAAATAACCTCTGTATTAGATTCACTTATGAGGTAAGTAGGGTAGAAGACACGTTGGTGAAAAAGGTAAGCACACCAGAGCTGATAATGTAAAGTTAAGAACAAATAACACAATATAAAGACAACATCACTTCTAAGCCATACAAAGAAAGACCCACGACAAGGAAGAGATTCCTCTAAGGGATGGTAATAACATGGCCCGTGAAGAATATTCATGGTATTCGTATGAATATTCTGCAATTCATGCACGTAAGACACAGATCACAAGAGACTTTTCAGTGCTGACTCAAATACAGCTGTATTATTTTTATTATATTATACACACTGTGAATCAAATAACTCTGAATGGTTGTTTTATTGTATACATCTTTGTTTGAAAGTCTTTGTGTATGTATACTGTAGAGCAGGGGTCAGCATGCTATGGCCCCTGGGCCAAATCCAACCTACTACCTGTTTTTGTAAATCAGGTTTTATCAGAACATAATCATGCTCATTTGTATCCATATTGTCTATGGATGTTTTCATGCTACAACAGCAGAGTTGAATAGAGAGACTACCTAGCCCTTTACAGAAAAAGTTTGCCAACCCGTGCCATAGTGTCCCTTAATGGAACAGCTGGCAAAACCTAGACCTAGCAGAATGAATGAAATGTTCATTCATAGTAATTTACCAAATTAATTAAGGCTATTCGTAATAAACTGAGCTAAGTTGCCTAGTCAGAATACTGTATTATGATCTGGTGTAAGGGAAAGAACACTGAGTGATCAGAACCAATGATGAAGCAGTAACAACAAAAAGTATGTGTGACCCCCCACCTCAGCCTCCCAAGTAGCTGGGACTACATGAGACTACAGCCATGCACCACCACACCCAGCTAATTTTTATTTTTTGGCAGAGATGAGATCTCACTACGTTGCCCAGACTGATCTCAAACTCCTGTGCTCAAGCTCAAGCGATCCTCCCACCTCAGCCTCTCAAAGTGTTGGGATTACAGGCACGAGCCACCACATCCGACCTCCATCTCCACTCTTTGAGTCTATGTGACTTTATTCATTGTATGAGTCAGGCAGCTACTCTGAATGGAAGGAAAAGAATTATTATTTCACAGGAAAGAACAAATATGGTTACCCTTATATACAAAGGATCAGAGCACAGAGGTATTGAGAGCAGATGAAAAAACAAAGACATTTCAGAGCACAAAAGATAATCGACCAAATGACAGGCCATTGCTGTACATACTTACTTAGCTGTGAGCACCAGAGTAGAGTGAATCAGAGGAAAGTAAAGAAGGGGTACCCATTCAATACTGCTTCTTGGGTCTAGCTAGTTTTAATGGTGCTAATGTATACAGTGAATGCTAATAAACTTGGTTCTGAAATCAGAAATTTCTCTAAAGAAAATAATCAAAGAAGTACACTAAAATTAACATTTAAAATGAATATTTAGATAATAATAAATTTTAAAACCTGTAGGGAGGGCACAGTGGCTCATGCTTGTAATCCCACCACTTTGGGAGGCCGAGGTGGGCGAATCATGAGGTCAGGAGTTCGAGACCAGCCCAGTGAACATGGTGAAACCCCGTCTCTACTAAAAATACAAAAAATTAGCTGAGTGTAATGGCGGTCGCCTGTAGTCCCAGCTACTCAGGAGGCTGAGGCAGGAGAATCGCTTGAACCCAAGAGGCGGAGGTTGCAGTGAGCCGAGATCGCACCACTGCACTCCAGCTCAGGCAACAGAGTGAGACTCCATCTCAAAAAAAAAAAAAAAAGTTTGTGTAAAGAGAAAAATGGCTGAATAAAATAAGACTAAAAATAGCATATGACTGCGTTCTGGGATTATGAGTAATTTTTATTTCCCTTTTAATACTACCTTTTGGTGGTTTCCAATTTTTAAACTTTTTTTTGTTGTTGTTGATTTTGAAACAGAGTTTCCCTCTGTCACCCAGACTGGAGTGTAATGGCACGATCTCAGCTCCCAGGCTCAAGTGATTCTCCTACTTCAGCCTCCTGAGTAGCTGCAATTACAGGCATGAGCCACCCTGTTCCACTAATTTTTGTATTTTTAGTAGAGACAGGGTTTCATCACGTTGGCCAGGCTGCTCTCGAACTCCTGACCTCCCGCCTCAGCCTCCCAAAGTGCTGGGATTAGAGGCGTGAGCCATCAGGCCTGGCCAACAACAAACTCTTTACATGCATAAACATAATAAATATGTTAAAAAAGAGAGGAGAGAAACCTACTGTGTGTACCCCATGCTCTAGATAAATGCCATACAGCTACAACAAAAAGACTTTAAATTGGGGATAACCCAGCTGCCTGGGTTATCAAAAGATTTTAAGTTGGGGAGGGTAATGCAGTCTCGAAGGCTAGCCTACCAAAGAAAAGAGAAAGGGAATTAGAAATAGGACATGCCTATGACAAAGAGGAAGATGGACAAAGTGATCATGGAAGGAGAACAGAAAGAAGAGTAAGAGGAGGGTTCAGATAAAAAAAATCTTCCTTATTCAACAGGATTAAGAAAGGAGACCAGAGCTGGGCATGGTAGCTTACACCTGTAATCCCAGCACTTTGGGAGGCGAAGGCAGGTGGATTGCTTGAGTCCAGAAGTTTGAGACCAGCCTGGGCAACATGGGAAAACCCCGTCTCTACAAAAAAATACAAAAAATTAGCTGGGCATGGTGGCGCTTGCTTGCAGTCCCAACTACTCGGGAAGTTGAGGTGAGAGGATCACCTGAGCACGGGAAGTTGAGGCTGCAATGAGCAGTGACCTAATCACTGTACTCCAGCCTGAGTCACTGTCTCACAAAAAAAAAAAAAAAAAGAGAGACCAAAGATTGTTCCATAAAATGAAATGCTTTCTAGGGACTATATAAGGCACTTGGTTTTGGCCTTCCTCATCTTGGTGAATGTCTCTTTCCAGTTACCAAGACTTCCAGTGCCTAGTTTAGGAATGCTTTGCCATGGATCAGGAGAGAAATTAAAACCCCATCATCCTTGGCCTGTCCCGAGAAGAAAACTGACCTTTGTACTCAGAATGGAGGCTCTGGGAGCTTAGGGTGGGGCTGACACACTACGCATAACCATTTTTCACTTTACTTGTGAACCATTTCAACGATCCACATAGCCCCATAAGAGGCAAGGCTGTTAAAGGGGAGTGCAATCAAGAAGGCCTTCTACTCTTTGAAATTCTCCAAGTGCCATACATTTGGCTGTCTTAAAACAATGAGCCATCCTTGCTTTTACAGGGTCCTTTTATGGCTCATTTCTCTGTGGGAGGCCATTGTGTCTGCCATATTATAAGACCCTGATATAGAAACAATGGGCACGGTGGTGCATCCTGTAGTCCTAGCTACTTGGGAGGCTGAGGAGGGAGGATTATTTGAGTCTGGGAGGTTGAGGCTGCAGTGAGCTGTGATCGCACCATTGCACTCCAGCCTGGGAGATAGAGCAAGACCCTGTCTCAAAAACAAGAAACAAAAAAACACAAAAAAAACCCAACTCCTTCTTCTCAGCAATTTATCCTTATCTGAGGCCAGCCACATACCCACTTTCTAAGAACTTTCTTGCTGTCTTAATCTTTTCAAGGCAGGTGACAGCTTTACATAGTAAATAGGTCTTCATACTCAAAGAGACTAGGTCAGGAGCCACCTTTTTTTTTTTTTTTTTTTGCTTCTTTTAATAGCTAGTGATTTTGAGATGATGGGGTTTCTGGGAGGCATTGGGAACCTTTAAGAATTCTGTTAACTTTTAGAACTTTAATACCAGATGGGATCAGATAAATAAATAGTTGTAGGTAGAAGAATTCCCAGAGTAGGTGTATTAGTGTTAGGTGCAGGATAAACTATGGTGCCCTTCCAGTAACAGGACATCTGGATGTGATCGTTTCTTTTTTTTTTTGAGACGGAGTGTCACTCTGTCACCAGGCTGGAGTGCAGTGGCGTGATCTCAGCTCACTGCAACCTCCGTCTCCCAGGTTCATCTGATTCTCCTGCCTCAGCCTCCCATAGCTGGAACTACAGGCGCCTGCTATCACGCCTGGCTAATTTTTGTATTTTTAGTACAGACGGGGTTTCACCATGTTGGCCAGGATGGTCTCGATCTCTTGACCTCGTGATCCACCCGCCTCGGCCTCCCCAGGTGCTGGGATTACAGGCGTGAGCACCACCGTGCCCAGTTAATTTTTTATTTTTTTGTGGAGACAGGGTCTTGCTATGTTACCCAGGCTGGTCTCAAACTCCTGGGCTCACACAATCCTCCCATCTCGGCCTCCCAAGGTGCTGGGATAATGTAGGAGCCACCACACCTGCCCAGAGAAGAAGGGTTTTAAGCCAGAAGAGTATTATCAATCCACTTCTAAACTGTCAAGTGGGATTACAGAAGGGATGATCATTGCTATGTACATCAACCATGATATGCCAGGGCAGAGTGAAGAAGGATATGTAGGGATAGGTGATCAGAACTGGTTTCTGATTCCTGATTCCAGTGAGCATTTCACTTTGTACCCACCAATTAAGTCTTTCCTAAAGAATTCAAGGACTTTTTCCCCCAGCTCAGGTATTACACTTTGCTATTCTATGCTTACTAAAGGCCAAATTCCGAGATTTAAAAAAGAAAAAAAAAAACTTCAAGATCACTTAAATAGAAAATGCAAGGGGCAGGCATGAGGGCTCATGCCTATAATCCTAACACTTTGGGAGGCGGAGGTGGAAGAATTGCTTGAGCCCAAGAGTTCAAGACCAGTCTGGGCAACATAGTGAGTGAGATGCTATCTCTTTAAAAAAAAAAAAAAAAGAGAGAGAGAGAAAGAAAGAGAAAGAAAGAAAAGAAAATGCAGTCATGAATTATGTTCTTAAGTCCCAGTTCTGCCACTGATTACAATGTGACCTAAAGTTACTTAAGCTTTCCAAGACTCATCTTTGAGATGGAGGTAGTAATAACACAAAACTAACTCTTTCAGTTTTTTGTAAAAATTCAACGAGACAGGGTACATAAAGCACACAGTAGGTACTCAATGAATGGCATCAAATTATTAAAAAGCTAAATGTCATGTATTTCCTCAATAGAGAACTACAGAAAATTAATCTTCTAAGGGGGCTTACTCCCCAGAAAGGTCAAGACATCTGCAGAAATATGCAAAAAAGCCAGAGAGGGGAAGTATACTAAAATAAGGATGAAGTCTTAATTAGAGAACATAAGTTGTAACTTTTTGGATACTCATGAATGGCTCAAGTTTAAAAGTTACCCCTGAAAAGAAGGAAAAAATGGGGGAACCATACATATAGGATAAATGAGTTGACTACAGTGAGGCATATAAAACATAGCTCCTTCTGTATATGTAGCCCAATTTGTGAATGTGCTTTCTGAGTGAGCTTAATTTGAGTGGGAAGAAATTCAGAAGCAAGCTGATTACTATGAGATTCCATACATTCTAGGATCAACTGTAAATGCAAGTCCCATTGAAAGGAAAATGGGGAGAGGAGGATTTGTGGATATAGTACATTTATTTAACCTATGCCAGGAATTGGCAAACTTTCTGTGAAGGGCCAGACAGTAATATTTCAAACTCTATGGTCCATTTGGTTTCTCTCCCAACTACTCAACTCTGCTGTAGCATGAAAGCTGCCATCGACAATAATGGATGAACACAACTGTGTTTCAACAAAACATTTACAAAAGCAGGAGCTTATGTCACCTATATTTCAGTTCTTCTGATCTTCTGCAGGAGTGATCCCAGACTGGGTGAGCATATAATCTACATGAATTGTTTTAAGAAGGATATATTATAGAATAAGTTGCAAGCTTTGAAAATGCTGGCCTGTCACTTATGCTCTGGAAATGGCATCTCTAAGAGCCTCCCTGACAAGAATCAGGGCAAAGTAAGCCTCTCTTTCCCTACTTACCTTAATCACTATGTTACCTTAATCACTGAGAGGACCCTCCTTCTTTTGCTGCATGGTCACTCACATGGATGATCTGGTGGACTCTAAAATACTTTTCAAATATCCTTCACAATCCAGCCTAGTGAGAAGTTACAAAAAGAGAAAAGAGTGTTTGCATCATCTATGACCTTCCTGACACTCAGCTTGGTCAGCCTCCATTGCATTGAGCAACTGTGGCAGGTATTAAAAGGGAGAATGGGAAAAAGGGAGAAAAACACAAGATGTTGCTTAGTTTAACCTAACCATTTTTAAGTGCAATTTTTTACATTATAATGGGAAAAAACAATTGATATAACACTTATGATACA